>NC_000022.11:36133806-36285321 GCF_000001405.40 Homo sapiens
GGGGCTGTTATTTAGCCTAACACAAGATGTATTCAGAAAATTGCAATAGGGATACCTGAGGGGAATTGAAGGATCCCAACTCCAAGCCGCATCTAAGGATGCTTCCGAGGTGCAGCTCCCGCTGGAGGACTCTGCTCCATCTCTCTTCCTGTCTGCCGCTGCCTGCCTCTCTGTTTCTAGACAGCCAGTGTTCAAGTCAGTATGGCCTTGAGAGTGAACTGCAGAATGGAAAGGAGTGAGATGCTGCAGCAGGAGAAAGAGCTCGCTGTCAAAGCTCCGAAGAGCTGAAGACCATTTATTTGCATGGTGGGGTCTGACGGAGGTCGGCAAGGAAGAGGAATCATCATTTGGTTTCCTTGCCATGGTCATCCTCAGCTGGCACGGTTTGCTCCAGCAGCAGGCTGGGATTCCAGCTGTGCCCAGTGTTAGCCATGCCACCCTCAACTAAATGCTGATCACTTCTTTGTGACATAAAAAGCCAGAAATTAGTTGGCATGATGAAGAAGAAGGAGGACTCAAAGTGTGTAGGAGGCTGAAATGCTAGATTTGATTTCTCAAGCACTTCCTGCCCACGCTGTTTCCTGCCAGGGCCCAAAAGATTTCCCGCTCCTTTAACGAGAAGAGTCAATGGATAACCAGGAACTCTCTATAATAGGGGAGGGGCTGGGACTCTGGTCTCTTTAGGGTGGGAGAAATTCCAAGAGGCCGACTGTAGGGGAGGCAGGTAACTGCCAGAAGAAAAGAGAGTGCGGGCGCCAGGTCACGCACCAGGAGGGCGCATGATCATGGCTCAAGGGACATTTGATAGGAACAAGGTTCCAAAATAGAGCTGGAAGACAGTCCACTGACTTTACAAAACCCCCAATCTGGTGAGTGGATACCTGTCACAGGTCATCAGGCTGGATAGTCCCTGCTTGTCACCCAATTCTTAGGCCTGGGTCAGAGGGGGAGATTATAGGGCACAAGTAATTAGTGAATATCTATATTCGTTTACCTTTGATTAAGTCCATCAGGGTCCCACCCTCACCTGGTCATCATTTTTCAAATTCCTGGGTGGATAACTGGAAAGAATACTCTTGGAAGCTTCAGATTGTTCACCCAGACCCACGGACGGGGACTATTTCAGTGACATACGCCAGTGGAGGCCATTGGTTTTACATACCTGCCTAAATATTTTACTCAAAGTCAACACCAACTTCATGGAGGAGTTACAGAGGCAGTTACAGAGATTTCTGCCATCATCAAGATTTAAAGGGAGCAGAAGCAGTGATTCCTGTGACTCACCTGTTCACCTCTCCAGTGTGGCCAGTCGTCAACAGGGAAACAACTGTTTGTTTTCCAACCGCAGAACAAAGTAGGAAGCTCATCAATGGAAGTTGCCATTCCTAAGTTGTTCTTGTTAATGAAGCAAATAAACACAGCCTGCAGCTCTCAGTCTGTATCAATCAGGCTTCTTGGTCGAGCAGAGGTACCAACTCTGTTTTCTTAGGGCAGAAAACAACATGAAATTCACTGGAATGATACCAGAAGAACCCCACGTGTGTAGGAGGCTGGAAATTGGCTTGGAAGATAAATAGAAGCCAAGACAGTGAGACGGTATCGAAGGCTGCGAGCACAAGAGCCCTGCTTTGTGAGGAGTGACACGGCCACAGCGCTGCCCCGCCACCTGCGGACGTCATCTCTGCTGGTGCAGGACTCGGTCGTCCCCGTCTCTATTCCCCTCCCGGGCAGTCCTGCTGCTCTCACTGAGAATGGATTCTAAGCACCCTGGGCTTTGCCTCACTTGCTCCAGATTCAGGATCCCATGTGGAAGCAGCCAATTAGCCAGCCTAGGTCTTGTCCAGAAGCCCTGGATGCCAGGGTGGGGGTGGACAGAGAGTCATCTATTCTCTTGGGCATTACATAGAAGGTGGGACCAGTCTTTCTCTATGACTCCACATGCTGGGAAACCCCACAAAACTAGGAAGAGGCGAATAGATGCCAATCAGCTCCCTCCCAGGAAACTGGGAGTTCATTCCACCCAGAGGCCTAAAATGTTGACATGCCGTCTTTGAGTGTAGAGGGAAGGAAGCTAACTCCAATTCGCAAAATGACTAAATAGAGATAAATGACTGACAGCTCAGAAAAGACCATGAGGGCTGAATTCAGGTGCTTACACAGAGTCATGAGTACTCAGCATCTCTCAAATTGTGCTGTGCTTTCCGCCTGGCCCACCTGCTCCCCCCAGGTCTGGCCTGCTGTGGAACGCCTCTCAAGGACGGTTCCTGAAGAGCAATGGAGCACACCTCACAGTCCAGGCTGCCTGGAAGGAGCTGCATCCTCGGACCAGGATCTGCATTGTTTCCTGGGTAACAACTAAGGAATTAGCTGGAATTTCAACATTTTAGAAGGAATAAATCTGGAGGCTTGGTGACAAAGATTTTTAGGGAAGAGGAACATACATAGAGCTTTCAGAACAACGGTAGAACTAAAAAAAAATCTGTCCCATGTGAATGCTCATTGGAAGATGTCCACCATCAAAAAAGACTCTTTTTTTTTTTTTTTTGAGACTGGGTCTCACTGTATCGCCCAGGCTGGAGTGCAGTGGTGCAATCTCGGCTCACTGCAACCTCTGCCTCCCAGGTTCAAGCAATTCTCGTGCCTCAGCCTCCAAAGTAGCTGGGATTACAGGCACCCGTCACCATGTCTGGTGGCTAGTTTTTGTATTTCTAGTAGAAATAGGGTTTCACCATGTTGACCAGGCTGGTCTCCAACTCCTGACTTCAACTGATCCACTCGCCTTGGTCTCCCAATGTGCTGGGATTACAGGCGTGAGTCACCATGCCTGGCTCAGAGGCTGTTAATAAACAAGGGAAGAAGTCACTCTTTAAGGCTCAAATCTCCTCTGTTCCCCAGGCAGCCTGACATTTTCAGAATGGGCTCATTAACCAACTTGCCTAATGTGGAGCTCTATGTAACCACACAACACGGACCCCACTCATCAAGGCTGACCACTTGGCACCCAGTGAATCTCAACCCCGGAAATGACAGCCTTAGGTCCCATGGAAATGGCCCAAAGGGGACTCAGCTCCATATCAGAGGCTGGGAGCTGCCCTTAGGATGTGATATGTTTTGAATCCATACCCAGAATTTTCCCCATTTCCTGTAATAGCCAGAATTCATGGAGCTGGGCAGTCAGAGGTTAAGATGAGGGTGATAGCTCTATGGTTACCCACAATAAACCACTTTCAAAAATTTTGTTTATGATACATACTCCTAACTCACAGACTTTTAGGTCTGGAAGTTTCAGTATCTAAGGTTGACAAAAGTTGTTTCAGCAGAAACCATAGCTGGCTTCTCATGCTCCCTGATGTAGGGATAGCAATGACGTCACTGGGTTGGATATAATCATGCATCATGTTCCTCCAGGGAAGCTCATGTTGTTATTACACAGCAGGACAGGAGGAATTGAGGGATCCCCTAGGATTGCTCCTTGTAATACTCTAAAGTGTTAGAGTATTAGTGTAAATGTGAATAGGAAATTTCACCAACTTACTGAGGCCAGACCATCAAGGAGCTTAGACACCACGAGAATGACTTTGCCCATAAGTAAGAGGAACATTGAGTGGAACAATTCAAGACTTCTGATGGTGGCAGCAATGGTCAGTAGTGGCTGTAGCCTTGACCGTACCTCTTTATTTTCTACAAATATACACACACAAAAATTCTGAGACAGAAGCTGCCAATGGACCAAAAGAAAAATTGATCGTGTGCTGAGGCCCTCCTCCTGTGACATAACTTCAGCATGCAGAAGGTGGAGATGCTGTGTGTGGCTCTCACTGGGGAAGAGGCAAGTGCATTTGCCTTTTTCCTTGGGATGGCTGGGTTCATAGCAGATAAGGAGAGTTCTTTTTGTTTGTATGAGAAGAAGAGTGTGTGTGCAGTAGCAAGCGATTGACTGTATACAATGAGCACAAATTCAGGTGGCTGTTTGGCCAGAGGCTTCCCATTAGGGTTTGTGTCTCTGTTACCCATCCCCATTCCTGATACCATAGCCTCACTGATTAGTTCAAGAAGAGTCACTAACCCAAGCTATTCTGTCTACTGAGTATGTGAAACTTTAATCAGAGACACTAGGAATCAAAGTGTGTGGAGCTAAGCCAGGTGCAGGCAGAGCCCTGAAAGGGCAAACCATATATTCCTGATGTTGGTAATGGTCTGCTCCTGTCCTTCCAAATTCTGTAGATTTTGTTCTTCCTTCCATCCTCTGACCTGCTCTAGTTTTCATCCAATGAATCTTCTATTTTGTTTAAGACAGATAGTTTCTGTTTCTGTTGCTTGCAATTGAAAAATTTTTAAACAATACTAGCAGTACAGTGGAATTGCATCAAATGCAGGTAGCCTGATGGCATTTCAACTCTAAGTGTCAGGGCAAATGCTGGCTGGATCACTGAAGAAGTAAATTACTCAGTGCCAGAAACATTCAAAGCTTAAGTGAAATGTATGAAAAGAATGGGAATTATCCAGGAATTGATGAACAATTGACAGACAAATGAAACACAATGTTCTGGCGTTAGGCAAGTCGGTGGCCGTTGCTCTGTTGACTTCTTCAGGAAGAAATAGATGAATCAACTGAAGGTCAGGGAAGCCTTGGCTGATGGAGAGTTACAGGGACTGAGGCAAGTGTTCTGCAGGATGCTACATAAAAAAGGACTAAGTAGGCCCTGGGTGCACTTTACGAGTGACTTAGGAGAGGTTCTGGGGTGATTTTGTGCATTCTGTATCTCTTGCCCCTGCTCTGGGCTCCAGCTGAGGCGCCCAGCAGTTCTATATTCTATGCATGGAAATACAGATAATTAATGTCCACTGGGGCAAGGCCATGGGGGACAGGAGCAGTGGTTACAGGCCTCCCTCTCTCCTCCCTGTAGAGGAACATTCTGAAGACGCTCCTTGAAGACTCCTCAGGAGGTCTCCAGTCGCCCACATGGGTGACCCTATCAAGAATTTCTCCCGGCATCAGCCTTCTGTCCTTCTCTGTGTCACTCCTCCCAGTACCCCAGTCCTGCTCCTAGAATCACTTCCCAAACAAATCCTCTGCCTGGGAGCCTTGCCTAGGGCTCTCCCTTCAGGGGAACTCAGGCCACAGCAGCCTACATTAGACAGCATGAAGGCTCTGGGCTTTTGTGCTAAGAGTAATAGGAAGCCATTGAAGACATGGAAGCATGGGCTTGAAGAAATCTATGTTCTTACGGGGCAAATTGGCCCAGTGTGGAGGATGGGCAGGGATAGTGGCAAGGGCTGTATAACAGGGAAGACCATTCTGGAAGCTTTTGCAGGAGTCTGGGTGAAATGAGAGGGCTGACTGGATGAGGGTGTTTGCAGACTGGATGAGGGTGTTTGCAGACTGGATGAGGGTGTTTGCTGTCTGGCTATCTCTCTCTGTTCCTCTATTTCTCATGGACTTTCTCTCAACCTACACACAGGCCCCTCTGATTTTAGTCAGCCTTGTGTGACCCATGTCATTCGTGGGCCCTGGCTGCTAGATGGGGACCATGCCTGCACTTGGGCCAAGCCAGATGTCTACAAGCTTTCCCTGAGTGCCTCACAGGCCACTGGGCACTGGGGTCGCCCAGAAATGACCGACCAGAAGAACAAGCAGAAGGGGCCATGGAGGCCTAGCTCCCTGAGTCCCTGGAAGAAGGATCATGAGGAAGTGAAGTCAGGCACCGAGAGCCCAGGGGAGCCCATCCATCAGCACCACAAAGGCACAGGCATAGATCAGTGTTGCTTGAACCCAGATCTCCAGAACACAAGAGGAGAGAGCCAGGTGGACCTGAGATATCATCTTGTCCAGCCCCTCTTTCCCAGCTGATGAGGAAACTGAGGCTCAGAGAGGCGGGGTCTCTTGACTGCAGGCTGGTTCATCTCCTCAATGCACCACAAAGTTCCTTGATTGGTTCCTGGCATCTGGTTTTGCTTTTCTCTTCCTTGTTTTTTTTTGGGGGGGGGACGCGGGGGATGGAGTCTCGCTCTGTCTCCCAGACTGGAGTGCATTGGCGCCATCTCGGCTCACTGCAACCTCCTCCTCTTGAGTTCAAGCAATCCGCCTGCCTCAGCCTCCTTAGTAGCTAAGATTACAGGCACCCACCACCATGCCCAGCTAATTTTTGTATTTTTAGTAGAGAAGGGGTTTCACTGTGTTGTCCTGGCTGGTCTCCAACTACTGACCTCAGGTGATCCACCCGCCTCGGCCTCCCAAAGTGCCAGGATTACAGGCCTGAGCCACCGTGCCCAGCCTCCTTTTATTTTTCTTCACAAATCAATGACTTTTCCAATACAGAATTTGGAGTTTCATTGGAATGTCATCGTTCCCTCAGTGTATCCTGGCCCCAAGCAGGGCTGACATTTGTCAAGTCCTCCTGCTGTCTGCTGACATCATCACCATCACCTTTACCACTGTTCAGACAAAAACTTCAGACAGGAACTTGCTCCCAAAGCGAGAAAGGAGCCAGGAGACCAAGGAATGACTCGAATAAGTCCAGCTTGGTGAGTAGGTGAGTTTATTAGGACTTACACACAGGGCACTCAGCAGGATGGCTCTAGAGATCCGGCCTCCCCCAGTCTCTAAACTGCTTTTCAGTTAATTTTCTGTCTCTTTGCCTGCTGTATATGAGTAATGAGACTGTTTTTCTTGGTAGGTTCTCGCATACTCTCCAGGATGTTTGGGTTTTTAGAGACACCTGGTCCTCAGCTGGGGACAATGGCCATGGCTCATTACCTGGCCTTCAGGGTTCAAGCAGGGGACATATACCCCTAAATAACCTAAAGGGGATCCATCACACTACAACCACCACCTCCACCGCCATCATCAAGAAGCCACTGGCTGACTGAGATACACTTCCAGGAGGACAAGACAGAGTGGATGCTGGAAAGACAGGGCAGGGGACCATCACCAGGGAAAGACTTCATTCTTGGAAGGACATCGAACCGGGGGCAGGTCGGTAGTGGAGCCGCTGTTTCTTCTGCTGTATCCAAAAGTTCTAACTCTTCGGCTTTCTGCATTTTCAGCTCTTTCTTTTCCTGGCCTTCTCATTGCTGGTTCCTGCACACCTCCCCTCTATTCCTCCCCCCAATATATTCGTTAGTCTAAAGGAAATTTCTTCTTCCTATTCCCCACACTCTCCAGTCCCCTCTCCTCCCTTATTCCAGGCTCCAGCATTCCTGCCTTCTCCTTGGTGCACTTGCCATCTGCATTAACCCCTCCCCTGCTGTGCTCAGCTACAGAAATGCCAAAGTCACTAACACTCAGCTCCATAAACTTTACCTTGCCCTCTTTATCCCCCTAATAAAATGCCTGCATTTTGTCGTGGCCTGTGTATGGCTCACCTCCCCTGCTGGCTGCACTGGTCTGGGGTCAGTGGGTATGGCATGGATTCAGACGCTGATAGATCTGAGTGAGCTCCATTAGATTCTCCTCCAGCTCCTGAGCCTGCCGCCTCAGCTCCTCAGCAGATGCAGACTTTGCCCCCTCATGCAAGTGCTTTGACTCGTATACAAGGTTGACCACATCCAGTGCAAGGAAGATGCCTGAAGTGGTCGCACTCAGGATCCGGGCTCCTCTGCTCACTGCCCGGGTGGTGCCTGCAATCGTTCTCTCTGCTTGACCACCACTTCCAGCTGAGATTCGCCAGGTGGTCACAGGGAGTCGGGCCCTGGCTCTGGCTTGCCTGATGGCACGGATTTCACTCCCAATGGTTTGTGTGGCTTCGTAATAATTATTAAGAAGGGAAAGTAAGTTGGGTGTGATGTCACGCATAACTTCCTTAAATACCTTCAATCGGTCAATGCTGGTTGCAGTCAGCCTGCTGGCTTCAGCTTCTGCTGATGATGTGTATGAGTGCTCCACGATGCTGGTGGTGATCCCAGTCACAGCAGACGCTGCTCCCAGCCCTACCCCAGCTGCAGTAAGGGCCAGACTCGTCCCTGCTGTAAATGGTGCCAAAACAAGACCAGCAAGGGACATGATGCCAGAGGCAGCGCCAGTGGAGCTGGACACCACATTGGAGATGGTGCAGCCTCTGTGGACCTCTTCAATACCATTTGCAAGGGCACGAAGCTTTTCTATGGACTCCTGGATCTTCCTCTTGACTTGGGGAAACTCTTTCAAAAACCATTCCCTAAACTGCTCATCTTTCTGCTGCACATATTCGTCCTCAATAGCTGCATATGTTCTAAGCTTCTTCAGAGCTTCGTAGAGAGCATCTGCCTCATCCCTGTACCAATAAAGGACAGATGATTAAGAAAGGCAGCTTACTTATCTGTAAAATCAGCTCAATAAGATCTGTTCTACATAAATCACAGAGCTATTACTATGAGTCAAATGGAAATAAAGCTTTAAATTTTAAATGGAAAAATTTAAAATAATTTTTCCAAGGTTAAACATGTTTTGTATATCATAGATATGCCACAGTACTTATTCTGTATGGGAATAAAAAACTTAAAGTCATCTTCAGATGCTCTTTAGTGGTAGGTATTCGATAAAGATGGCTCCTCAAGCAAGAGAGGTCAACATCATCCCTCCAATAGTGTGTGGAGAGGGGAAATTTTGTAGATGAACAAAGAGAAGTGGGTTCGGAGCAAAAAGACCTTCATTCAGAGGATCATAGAACAGTGAAGGATTAACTTTATTAGAAGAGAGGTCGTTCTTTTGTCTTTGGGCCCTGGGAAGGGATCTCTGGGGCCCTGGAATGTCCTGCCTGGTAGGAACATCTTTGTTTCCCTGGTGGTTTGGCTACAGCACAGTATAGCAATGTTATGGGTGATGGGTTTTGGGGCTATTACGTATCTTTTCTGCCTTCCAAAGGAACTGGGAACTAAGGGTGTTAGACCTCAGGGAGGGGCTGGGGACTCCATGTCAGCCATCAGGACAGCTTGTGATCCAGCCCCAGAAAGAGCTCTGTACATTGAGGCATAGGTTGAGAAAGACTTTCTCCTTGGCCAAACTCCAGTCAGGCTGCTCTGAGCCTTTTCTCCTCTAGGCGCTGACCTTCCATGCCCATCCCGTGCTTGCTGGGCCTGTACTGCCCCAGTTCAGCAAGAATCCCCCAAGGCAGTTAGGGAGGGTCCTCCCCACTTGCTGTCTGAGCATTCTTGCTGTCTGATCACGGTCTTCACCCGCTCCTTACCTGCCTTTAGTTGAGCAGCTTGTTAGGCCAGTTTAGCAGAAACCCCCCATTCTGGTGTCTCCAGTCAGAACTGGTCCATCTCCCACTCCTCACCCTGGTGTTGGCTGTGACTCCCCCTCTGTCTTTACTATATTGGGAGCTGGGCTCAGTCTCCCTCCCCTGTAACACAATCCTGAATAAAGGCTTCCTGATCTAATGTGATTCACAGGAATTTTTCCTTAACTGGGTGAGCTTCTCTGGTTGGCAACACCCCATGTGTTTTGTCCCACATTCACACAGGAGAACACAGCGTCCTGAGGACAACGAAGCTTCACACCTGAAACCCTCCCAGACTCTGCCCTGTGTGTCTCTTCCTTAGGCTGATTTTAATCTGTGTTCTTTCCCTGTGATAAACCACAATCGTGCAATAACAGTTATCAGTGAGTTACGTAAGTCTTTGTAGTGAATTATCAAACCTGAGTGGGGGCTTAAGAAACACCTTCAAATCTGCAACTGGTGTCAGAAGGAAGGGTGCCTTCAGACATTGCATTTTGACTAACTCTGAGTCCTTAAGCTATCAAATAAAACCTCAGACTGGAAGAGATCACCTTGCCTGGCATGTTCTCTCTTCCAATGCCACATGCCCTTTGATCTTCTGACTGAAGGCCACTGGGTCCAGCCACTGCCCCCTTTGACTGAAAAGTGAAAGGCCTGGCTATTAGTCCTGGCTGCACATGAACTCTCAAGCCACTTGACGGCCTCCTGACCTGGCACCTCCAAGCTTCAGGGTCTCACTGTCACATGTCACCAGCCAAACTAATGCCTTAGCAGGTGACAGCTTCACCTGTGTGCATGCCAATGCCATGTGCAATTTCATGGAACCTCTTATGGACTCATGAGACTTTGAAAATCATCTCTATAAATCACTAATGCTGAAAAGACCTGCATTTGGACAAGATGATAGAGAAAGTGTTTTTCTCTTTGGTTGGGGACTTGTGAGTCTCCTGAGAACCCTTCAAATTACCCAGTTGGCAGACACTTGTTCCAACTCTCCAAGCTGGCCCGAAGAAACACTTCCTCTACTCTATGTAGAACAGAAGAGGGTCCCAAATGGCAGTTCAGAATGCCCCAGTTCCCAGGCATGCTGTCAGGGAAACAGTCACCCATGGCCCACTATGCCCATCAGTGATGGGATCAAATCAGGGAGGGAAGAAATATCCCTCTCCCACTCACTGGTCCTCTGCAAGTCCATGGCCACGTTACCTTTCATGCCCTCAGTGCCTCCCTCTTCTCACCCTACTCCCAGCCTTGGTGCCCGAGCCTTCCTGCTGCTCCTCCAACCCAGGCCCACCCCTGCCCCATCCTGACCCCTGGCTCTGCCCCTGAAACGTCTCTCTGGGTCTTTGGATGGCATCATGCTACTTGGTTCCCCACCTCTGACCTGCTGTTCATTCTCAGGCTTTAACCACACGCCCATCTGATTGAACTACTATTAGCATTGGAGAGATGGCAGGTCCCAGTCTCCAAGACATAAAACAACAGCCCCAGAGCTGTGCAGGGACAGAGCCAAGATCCACCCCCAGCTCTGTCCAACTCCATTCCAGCCTCTCTGTGTTCTGTGTCAGCAGGAGGATCCTGCTGTGTTTGTGCAGTTCCTCAGAGGTGGAAGAAAAGGGCCCCGGACAGCATCTCCAGGAACACACATTGATCAGGTCAAGATTTTTCTGGCTTTTTTCAAAGAAAGTCCTGCTGGGCATCCAACTCTAAGAAAAACACTTGGTCGGGCGCAGCGGCTCATGCCTGTAATCCCAGCACCTTGGGAGGCCGAGGCGGGAGGATCACGAGGTCAGGAGATCAAGACCATCCTGGCTAACACGATGAAACCCCGTCTGTACTAAAAATACAAAAAAAAATAGCCGGATGCGGTGGCCGGAGCCTGTAGTCCCAGCTACTTGGGAGGCTGGGGCAGGAGAATGGCGTGAAACCGGGAGGCGGAGGTTGCGGTGGGCCGAGATCATGCCACTGCACTCCAGCCTGGGGGACAAGCAAGACTCTGTCTCAAAAAAAAAAAAAAAAGAAAAAAAAAGAAAAAAAAAGAAAAACACTTTTGGTCCTGGTCTCTCCCCAGCAATCTTTTTAAAAGGTAACATTAACGGAGCACCTACCATGTGTCAGTCATTATGCTAAATACTTTACATGCATTAGCTTATTTTTCTCACAATAAAGCTCAATGGATGAAGAAAGGAAGGCAGAAAGTAGTCAAGTAGCTTGCAAAGCTCCCATCACCAGTAGATGGCAGAACTGACCCTGCCCTTGTGGGCTTCCTCTCCCCTCAGCCTGAGGTCACTCACTGCCAGCGAAGGACTTGGAGGAAATATTCCTCCTGGACTGCTGAGAGGGACATTCTCAAGTTCAGCAGAGGGGGCTGCCTGGAGGAGGTGTGCCTGCCAGAGAAAACTAGCCCAGGGGAGATCAGGATGGCATAGCCGGGGCGCCCCATGGAGGTAACCCCACGGAGGTTACCTGGGCAATTCAGCCGCAGTCACGAATCTCTTCCAGGCTTCATTGTTAGTCAGCAGGATTTGCAGATGCACTGGGCTGACTCTCTCCCGGAAGTATTTGGTGGCCTCTTCAGTAAAGCGTTTCTTTTCTACTTGGAAACAAAAAGCATAAGATTGGAAGAAAGTGTGCTACAGCCTAAATGGCATTGAGAATAAGGTGGTTCGAGGTTAATCCTCCTCAACCAGCTGTCACATGGGGTATTTTTGATGGAGGCATCAGTGCTATAGACTGAGTTGTGTGCCCTCCAAATTCATATACTGAGACCCTAAACCCCAGTAACTATATTTGGAGATTGAGCCTTTAAGGAAGTCATTAATTTAAAGAGAGTCGTAAGGGTAGGGCCCTAATCCTACAGGACTGGTGTCTAGTTAAAAGAAAAAAAAGAGGCAGAAGATCTCTCTCTCTCTCCTCACCCCACCCCGCCCTCGCTGTCTCTCTTGCCTTCCAGCCCTCTCTCCCTGTCTCTCTTTCTCTCTCTCTCTCTCTCTCTCACACACTCACACACACACACACACACACACATACACCCCCCACACTGGGAAGGCCATGTGAGGACACAGCCCTGAGGCAGCCTCTGTAAGCCAGGAGCAGAGCCCTCCCCAGACATCAACCCTGCTGGCACCTTCACCTTGGAATTTTTGCCTCCAGAACTGTGAGAAAATACATCAGTTGTTGGAGCCACCCAGCCTGTGGCGTTTTACTAAGGCATCCTGAGAAGAGTGATTCACCAGGGAAGTGCCATGGTGCTTTGTGGAGGAACCGATCTATTTCAGCTGAGAATCACCAGAAAGTGAGCTTTCCACCATGCTTTCTCCCCATGTACGGGAAATATTCCAGTGATCGCTTCCTTCTGCCATGTGCCTATTGTCAAACGCTTTACACCAGTGTCTTCAAAATCTGAGTTTCGACCCATCAGTGGGTTATGAAAATAGTTCATTTTGTCAAGAGCAGCATTTTAAAAAGAAAAGAGCATTGAAAATATCAGAGTGTATTGAACACAGCAAGAGTGAGTATTCTTTTGTAAGATATTTGAAATATATATAATATATATATACATAAGGGTGTATATATATATACCCTTATGTAAATTCCTGGGATATAGATGTGTTTAGGATGGCAGCATTTTCAATCTGTGTCAATATGACACAGGGTGCATATGCTGTATCACTGACCACTCCCACACTGGTCAACGCTACAAATGTTTCAACCTTGTAATCAAAGGTACAAATGTTTCAACAGAGAAACCAATGAATATTCACCTTAAATGGGATACATAATATTATCAGTACAAAGCATCTTAGTACACAGCAGGATTACTGCCCAGATGAGTTGCCCCAAAAATGTGTGGTTTGCAGGGATTTGGGAATTATGGAACTGCAGAGAAGGGACTGGGAAGCAGTATGGATTTATGTATGCACTGGGACATGAGGTAAAATCGTTTCCTGCCGTGGACACACTTGCGAGGCCTCATTCTCATTTCACAGAAGGAGAAATTGAGACCCAGACAGCGAAAGACACCACCCAACCCAGCAAGCAGGAAGCTCAGGATTTGACTCAAGGCCAGCGTTCCCTTGCCATTACTTTGAAGACTCCATATATTTTGAAAATGCCTGTGGTTCCTGCATTCTCCACTGTAGTATACCTGTGGGATTTTAAACATTTTATTGAAAAAGAATATTTCAACCCTACACCATTGAATAAACTACCATGCACAGAGGATTCCTCCTGCTGCTCATGGGCGCTCTCAGATGGGCAGTGGAGGGGGTTCTTTAGGCGGGCAGGGGAGCAAGACCCTCAGCACTGATCCCTGTGGCCCTTCTGTGTTACCTCTGTCCTCTGCAGGCTGGTCTCAGGGGACATGGCTCCCCACTATCACCTCTGAACCCAGCTGGCCGCGTTATTAAACCACAGATCATCTTGTTTCGGAGAGAGAGTTTCTTCCTTGAGCCTCCCAGCCAAGCCCTTCTGAAGGATTCCGGGGTTGGCTGGTAGGTCCCGGCTTCTAATCTTCCCTGCCCTCTCCTCATCTTGGACAGGACTCAGCAGAGCCCAGTTTGCTGTCCAGGGCGGCTCCTGAGCAGATGTGACTTGGTTGCCAAGGCAACTCAGTGAGGGGAGAAAACAGGCCTTAGGGAAATGAACACAGTGCTGACTTGGGTGAGGGGTATTTTGCTTTTATTTTTTCCTCCTTCACTGAAAGGATGAAGGAAACCAGGGTTGGATGGAGGGAACCTCCAGCACTAGATCTGTGTATTTATTGCTGGGGTGGGAGTACCAGGGTGTTAAAGCAAACTTAAAATGAACACCTGGGCAAACAAAAGCAAACAGGCCTTCAGAAAGGCTGTAACCCCCCTTAAACTGCCAACTATGGGGAACTTAACTGGAGTCGTTTCAGATGGGTGCTTACGTTAGGCACAAACAAAACTTAACTTCGGCCAGTCATGAGCAGCCAGCTGACAGACGGGTACACGACTAGGAATTTTCCAACAAGGTAAACCAAAAAACATAATTTGACAACTGCAACAAATCAAATAATGTCCTTATTCCACTTCCATATTCACCCTATAAATACCTGCCTCTGACACTTTTCCATCATAACATGAAATGTCTTTCATTTTGATGTTTCCCACTTCATGACTTGCTTCTTCCTCAAATAAAGTCTTCAAAATTCGATTGGACCTCAGATTTTTCTTTGACAAGGGGTATTTGAGATCATGGGAATGAGGCCCTGCCTGAGGCAGTCATCCCTGGTAAGCAGGTGCTTGTGATGGGCCGTGCAGGGCAGGCGCCCTGGGGGACAAAAAGGGGCTTCCACCTGGAATCAACAGTGGCAGGTAAAGGGGATGGGAACCAACTCTTAGGGAGGCCCTACTGTGTGGCAGGCACTGGCTGGGCCAGGTACCCATGTACTATTTGATCCTCATGACCACATGGGGAAATATTATACTCGCATTCCAGGTGAGGGGAGGTAAGAAGCTCCAGGTGACACAGAGAAGACGTGGCAAAGGCCAGAATGGGGCTCAGTTCAGTGGGACGCTGAGTCACTCTTTTCACAGGGCCACTCAGAGCAGAGGGGCTGGTGCAGGGCAAGAGCTGGAGGGAGGGGACTGGCCTGTGCTGGAAACACCCCAGGGTCAGCTGGGAGCAGAGCGGGAGGTCAGAGGTCGGGACTGCTGGTCAACCTCCTCTCTCAGCCCTCCGCACCTCCTGGACCCTGCTCTCCCCCTACTCCCCGACCCTGCTGTTTCCACTTCCCCAAGGCTGTGGTGCCCCACTTGAGTCGTTTGCTAGGTGCCAGGGCAGGGAGGAAGTGGGCACCTGGGCCATGCTCCCCTGAGGAGAGGTCAGGACATAGATGCCCCCACAGACCCTTGGGTCGGGGGACTCCATGTGGCCTCTTTTGGGGCTCAGGGAAGACTCATCGGCCTGCTTGACCATCCGGGTTCCTCTGGGGCTCACTGAGTTGTGGAAACGCCACCCTCCATTCTAGGTGCGAGTAGGAACCAGCCAGGGAAGAGGAAGAAGCAAGCCTACCTGAGTCCATGGTGCCAGCAGCCAGGTCACTGAGAGACTTTCCATGGAGCTCTCCAGTCACTGACCTGACTGGAAGGGTTCGTTTTTTTTCTTAACCCTTGAGGAGGAGAAAGCAAATTGTGGGACTGAATGTGAGCCACCTGTGGACAGAGGGAGGTTGGAGGGGCTGGATCTCTGCAATCCCTTTGCGTGTCAGCAAATGCCAAGACCAACCTAGCCCGGTGTTTTTTAATCTCCTGGGCCCCAGCCAGCTGGTATTTAGAGAAATTCTACTTGCTCCAGCTCCCTCTGCCCTCACTCTCACACCAAGGCAGGGTCCTTTTGTCCTGTAGGGGTATGAAGAGAAGATAATCAGAGGAAGGGATGGACATCTGATAATCACAGAAACTACAGAGTCTATACACCGAAATAGAGATGGGAAGGAACGTTCTGACAATGACCTGGGCCTGGCAACATGTGTGATAACTAATTGATAATAGCCAGTGTGTACTGGGTGTCTGTGATCTGCAGGGCTCCTCATATGTGCCTCATTCGATGATCACACACAGGCCAGGAGATGGGTGCAACCGTGGCTCCCATTTTGAAACAGAAGAAACCTCAAATGTTAAGCAACCTTGCCATGTTTTCACAATAGGGGTAGAGCCAGGACTTCTGATTCAAATCCCATGTCTTCCATGACTGGGCTCCACTCCCTTAAATATATAAAAATATTGACTCATGCATACATGCTTATTGTAAATGACTCCTCATTCCAAATCTGTGTCTTGCACTCTATGCCCAAGTGTCTGTCTTGGTGAATTCACTGGTGCTGTGCTGGACACCCTTTGTCCCCCTTGCTTCTGCCTGTATGTCCTGGCTGCAAGTGATGCTTCTGCTTCAACTTCCCAAGTAGTTGTCCCTACAGGTACATACCACCACGCTAGGCACATTAAAAAAAAATTTTTTTTAGAAATGTGGATCTTGCTTTGTTGCCCAGAGCTGGTCTCCAACTCCTGGTTTCAAGCAATCCTCCTGCCTGAGCCCCCCAAAGTCCTGCGATTGCAGGCATCAGCCACTACAACCAGCCTAAATAAATGCTGATCTTTATACAGAGAAACACTCTTCACATTCTGCTTGTGATGATCTTGCCTTGGGAAATGAGAAAAAAGAAAGCAAATGTTGATTATGTTTAGGCATTGTTCTAAGAAGGTAGAAGAACATTTATTGACTATCCCTTCAAGATCTGACTACAGTGTTAGTCAAGGCACTTATAGGTATAATAACAGTCAATGAGAAATAGGGGTGAACATTTGTGGACTCGACTTTGCACCACTAATTGCTCTAAGATGTTATAAATAATAACTCACAGTCCTCTTCCAAGAGCCTATTAAGTGGGTACCATTTGTATTTCCATTTTCAGATAAGAAAACTGAAACAGATGTTCAGCGACTTGCCCAATCTCAGAAATCTACTAAGGTGTAAAGACTGGGTTCCCACCCAACCAGACGGACTCAAGAACACACACACTGCCTCTGCACCCTCTGCTGCCAATGAAAATGTGAATGGACCAGTTGTGGTGGCTCACGCCTTAATCCCAGCAATTTGGGAGACCGAGGCAGGTGGATCACGAGGTCAGGAGATCAAGACCATGCTGGCCAACATAGTGAAACCCTGTCTCTACTAAAAATGCACACACACACACACACACAAATTAGCTGGGCGTGGTGGCGTGTGCCTGTAATCCCAGTTACCCGGGAGGCTGAGGCAGGAGAATCGCTTGAACCCAGGAGGCAGAAGTTGCAGTGAGCCGAGATTGGGTCACTGCACTCCACCCTGGTGACAGACTGGGACTCTGTCTCAAAAAATATATACATATGAAAATTTGAATGAGGAAAACAGGAGATCAGAGACTTCAACAGATATTTGGAAGACAGAACTGGCTGAAGAAGTGACAACTGAATAGAGAGGGGTAAAGGGATCTGCAATCCACAGCAACACCAAGAGCACATTCAGCCAAGAATTGCCTGCTAAGCAGAGCCTCAGAGAGGGGAGAAGTTCACCAGCCCCACGACCCATACAGGATTCACAGTAGCCGTGAGTCTACACCAATGGAAAAAATTAGAGACTTCATAACTGCATCTAAAGGCCCCAGAAATAATATCTTTGTATCCTGATGCCAAGGAGTTCTCATTTCATCACTCTACAGGGAAGACTGCCAGTGGACCTGCCCCTTTCTTTAATATGAATAGATCTAGGATCAGATAAAGCAGAAAGACAAAAAATGGGGAAAAGGTCAAGATAACAAGTAAAAAATGAGTCCAGAAGAAATGGATGATTGCGAAAATAGAAAATAATTTTTAAAAACTCAAACCCATGTCCTCAGGGACATAAAAATGTTTTATTCATAAATGAGAACATTATGTACTGAAAAGGAACAAAGATGATGGAACAAAAAAGACTTCTTGAGAATTAAAAGGTGATTGAGAAAATAAACAACTCTAGGACAAGATTCAAAAAGATAGGCAAGGAAGCTTTCCAGAAAATCAACTAAAAGGATGACAGAAAAAGAAAAAAACAAAAACAAAAACAGAGCTAGATATAGAATAAGAAAGTTACCATACATAATAATTACATAGAAAGCTACTTGAGTCTGAGCATGGTGGCTCATGCCTATAACCCCATACTTTGGGAGGGTAAGCAGGAGAATTCTTTGAGTCCAGGAGTTCTAGACCAGTATGGGCCACATAGTGACACCCCATCATTACAAAGAATACAAAAATGAACCAGGTGTGGTGATGCATGCCTCTAGTCCCAACTACTCTGGAAGCTGACTGGGGAGAATCTCTTGAGCCCAAGAGGTCACAGAGCAAGACCCTGTCTCTGTTAAAAGAAAAACAAGTAAATAACAGAAAAGAAAGTTACTTGAGAATGAGCTGTGGAGGCTGAGAGGAGGAAGAATGTGAGTGTGTGTGTGTGTGTGCACGCACACTCATGGAGAGGGGATAAGGAAAACCAAGAGAGAAAAAGACGTGAAAGAGAAAAATCAACCCAGGGAGAAGGAAATGCAAGGATCACAGCTGGGCATGCAGCAGGCCTAGAAAGCAACCAGTCCAGGATAGAATAAGAAGGAAAGGGCTCTGTAGGGAAAGGGGACTCGATAGAACATTGCATATAATTCACAGTTTGAGAAAAACTGAGGAAATCATGAAGGCAAACAGTACAAGAGGGGGAAAAAACAAAGGCAATTAGAAACATCAGGAAAAACTAAAGCCGTGCAGCAAAACATGTGCAACCATATTGTACAACTCAGCTCAACAGTAAGCAAGATTTAAAGCGTCACCAAAATGTAAACACTTGGTTAACTTTTAACTTTTAGAACAAAACAGAACATTTACATATGAGAACTAAATCTACTTGTTACCAGTCAGTATAATTAATGTTCCATGGTAAAGGTGGGAGGTGAAACACTGAAGGAAGGAGGGGGAGGATTAATATGGCCATTTTGTAAAGTGAAGAGTCAAGAAATACTGGCTACAGTTAAGGGCATAAGAAATAAAGTTAAATAAACTCACGTTTAGTTCTCACAACAACCATCCTACGTAGGCACTGTTATCATCTTAATAGTTCTGAGGGGAAAACTAAAGCTTGGAGAAGTTAAGTAATTCACCTGGAGCCCCTAGCTAGTGACAGCCAGAAGCCAAACTCAAGTGCCCAATCTCCAGAGCATGCACTCTCACTCTATTTCATCTGCTAGCATAAGAATATTATGTAAAGAAAATGATTTACTCCCTAAAGAAAAGCTGGCTAGGCACACTGGTTCACATCTGTAATCCCAGCACTTTAGGAAGCTGAGGTGGGTGGATCACCTGAGGTTGGGAGTTCGAGAGCAGCCTGACCAACATGGAGCAACTCTGTCTCTACTAAAAAAATGAAAAAATTAGCCGGGCATGGTGGTGCATGCCTGTTATCTCAGCTACTCAGGAGGCTGAGGCAGGAGAATCGCTTGAACCCAGGAGGTGGAGTTTGTGGTGAGCCAAGATAGCTACATTGCACTCCAGCCTGGGCAACAAGAGTGAAATTCTGTCTCAGAAAATAAAAAAAGGAAAATCTGAACATCAAAATTAGCTGCTTTTAATTGGGAAGGGAGTGAGTGGAGCCCTCTTTATTAAATGATTTGTCTGAACCGTATACACTTATTAATTGATTTTTTTAAATTTTAACAAAACAGAAGTTACTTTATAGTAGTTAGTAACTGCTAACCTCAATAATGGTTTGGATTGTGGTGCCACCACCTTAAAGTTGATGGAGAAGTGTGAGCAAGTGCCAAAGAGAAATACACCTGCCTCCTGATGGGAGAAATGTCAGCTTCAGAGAAACCTCGGTGGCTGGGGTAACCAAGCTGCTAAGAAAAGTACGGATGTTGTCATTTTATGTTAAACTGTTAATATTAACAGCATAATCAGAGTGAACTCCTATCTTGAATCAGTATAATTTCCAGTGGCACCTTGCCACTCAACATACGGGCTTCTTTTCCACCCAAAGGAACCAAGACGTCTTGTGGGGAACCAAATTCCCCAGACTGTGATATGTGTTACCCCAGAAAGCAAGGACGCTTCCAAAGATGTTCAGAGCAGTGTTCAAAGGGATGCCCACTGGTCAGTCCCAACCGCTGTGAACCCGGAAAATCTGAGACTGGTGTCAGTTAATTTAGAAAGTTTATTTTGCCAAGGTTGAGGACGTATGCCTGTGACACAGCCTCAGGAAGTCCTGATGACATGTGCCCAAGGTGGTTGGGGTGTAGCTTGATTTTATACACTTAGGGAGCATGAGACATCAATTAAGTACACTTGAGAAATACATCGGTTTGGTCTAGAAAGGCGGGACAACTCAAAGTGGGCGTTTCCAGGCTACAGGTAAATTGAAACGTTTTCTGGTTGACAATTGGTTGAGTTTGTCTAAAGACCGGAGATCAATAGGAAGGAATGTTTGAGTTGTGATAAGAGGTTGTGGAGACCAAAGTTTTATCCTGCAGATGAAGCTTTCAGCTAGCAGGCTTCACAGAGAAACAGGCTGTAAAATGTTTCTTATTAGACTGAAAGCCTGTGTTGATATTAATGCCAGAGAGGCATAATGAAGCATGTCTGACCCCCATTTCCCTTCATGGCCTGAACCAGTCTTTCAGGTTAAATTTTAAGAGCCCTGGCTGAGGAGGAAGTCCTTTAAATGAGGGGGAGGCTTAGAATCTTACTTTTGGTTTATACCGCTTATATTCAACAGTAATAATTGATTGTGATTATTATGATCATGTTTACTTGGTCCAAGATGAATCTGTGAAAGGCCTTGGGTTGATACTAACATTCAAGTGAGAACATTTGAGAAAAGTATACAGAAAAGGCTAAAACAGGGTACTTGAAATGCAAAGACTTATCGTAACAGAGAATGTTTAATTGTTAATTGGTTTTAACAAGAAGAGCATCTTAATATAAATGGATATTTTTCCTTCTATTTATTTATGTTCCTGTTCGTAAGTGTTGAGAATGAAGGAAGAGCTGCCACAGACATTTGGAAGCTGGCGTGGACTCCCAGAAGGGCTGTGTTATTCTCCTATGGACAGAAATAATGTCACAGAATAGTAACCACACACAGGGTGACTCTGAGATTGTGAGCAAATGAGACAGAGCAATTAGACTTCATAATACTGTCTAAGTATAGACAGAAACTGAGTCTCTGCTCCACCCACAAAATACCAAACACTCCCTCTCCTGGCTAAATAGAATGCCTGTTTTTTCTACACCAAGTCAACTCTAACCTCTTCCTGGTCTCCCTCTCTCTAGATGAGATTTGCTGAGATACCCACTGGTAGACTTGCCCCCCACTTTCTGCAACACCCAATCCAGAGTGGGCTCCATTTCATAGGCCCTCCTGCCAATCACCCAGCCAGAACCCAGATATTCTAACAGGTTCCTTCTCGCACCCCTTATGGAGGTGCCGATGGACCTCCACCTGTGTCCCCCTCACTGAGAAGAATGAACTCAACTGGTTCAACCACCTACAGGAGTGATCTGGCAGCCCCAGCCTGGAAACATTGACTCTAGAGACTTCCATGGTTTCTGTAGTGAGGAGGCAACAACAAGCCCAGGCAGCTGTGAGGTGGCCCTGTCAGGCCCCTCAAAGGTAGGGGTTGGCTCCAAGCAGGCCCCTATCTCTTTCTTCTTTACTGTGGCTTCGGCTGCATCTGTTTCAGCTGGCTCCCAGGCACATCCATTCCAGCCGCTGGTCTTTGCTCCCAGACTTTATGTTAACAACGCAGTGGTTCCCGGGAC
This sequence comes from Homo sapiens, assembly GCF_000001405.40. Taxonomy (NCBI): domain Eukaryota; kingdom Metazoa; phylum Chordata; class Mammalia; order Primates; family Hominidae; genus Homo; species Homo sapiens. The sequence goes on from NC_000022.11 coordinate 36,155,348, forward strand.
CCCCTGATGCGTTTTCATCCTCAAGGTCATGTGTAGAAGCATCCTCATCGAAAGCCTCTCACCTCCCTCTTCCTATTTCCTGCCTCTGTCTTAGGGATCTTGCATCCAGGTGTCTATTGTCTGGGGCCCCCATGCAACCATGGTGACAGTGAGGCCAATAGAGGCACTAGGGGAGTGTGCTGAGGGGTTTCTGGGTGCTTCTTGCTGTAAGGGATAAGGGTGATAGAAGGAGGGCTCCCCTTCCCCTTCTTCCTGCTTTGTTCAGTGTGTGACCCCCTAGGCCAGGGCAGCTGTCTCAACATCATGAGCCATAAGGACCAGGAGCCAGCACAGAGCAGAGGAGCAGGAGGGCAGAGAGAGCTGGGGCCTCAGACCACACCTGACACCTCTGATGAGCTACACCCAGGGTCTCGTCCTCCTTAGGCGTTGTTGGCCTGGCTCGGAATCTTGTCTGGGGCATCCGCTGAGGGTTGAAGCTGGATACTGCCCCTCGAGCTGAACTAGGACACAGCATGTCCTCCCTGGGCAAGCCTGCAGTTTGGTCAATTCCCGGAAAGGGACTTTAGTTCCTGGAGGAGGCCCAGACAGGGAGCCCTCCCTCCTGCCTCAGCTCTGAGCCAAGCTCTCCAGATGCAGAGGACAGAGACTCTCAGCAAAGCAGCTCCCTGCAAGTGGCTGTGGGGCCTCCTCCTTAGGCAGAGAGAGAGGGAGAGAGGGGTGAAGACACCGTGCTCCTCCTGAGGAATCTTTATTTTTATTTTCAATATTTTTTTTTTTTGCTCTGTTACCCAGGCTGGAACGCAGTGGCACCACCATAACTCACTGTAGTGTTGACGTTCTAGGATCAATCGATCCTCCTGCCTCATCCTTCTGAGTAGTGGGAACTACAAGTGCATCACTATGTCAGTCAATCTTTTTATTTTCATTTTTGCAGAGATGGGGTCGTGCTATGCTGCCCAGGCTTGTCCTGAACTCCTGGGTTCGAGGGATCCTCCTGCATTAGCCTTCGTGCATTAGCACGGGAATTACAGCCCTGAGCCACAATACCTAGGTCTCCTGAGGAATCTTTAATGACCTGCCAGGGTCAAGTTCAACCCCTTAACTGGGCACACGGGCTCCTACTTTCCTCACTGCTCCCTGCCCACACAGTCACCTTGGGTCCAGGTACACACTGACGCCCTGCTTCCCTGCCTCCCAGAGCCCATCTACTCCCCCCACTCCCATTCCCAGCCTCAGGCCTTTGCTCAGGCTGCTCCCTCCCCTTGGAATGCCTCCCCCACCTTCCCCACCATGTGCAAGTCACCCATCCTCAGAGGCTCAGCCAAAGCTGCCTGGACCCTGCAGCGTCCCCCAGCCCTCCCCAGGCTCCCTGAGCACTCTGCTTTCCGGGGGCAGCTCTACCTCTGTGTGGCTCTTTGGGCCTCTGTCTCCCCGTTAAACTCTGAGCATCCGGCAGGGACCCTGCGGTGTTCCCAGCTGCATCCCCTATGACTGACCTGGGTGGCCTCTGCCCTCCGTGGCACAGCCTGGCTGAAATCCGAGGTGTGGGAGGCAGCACTTGGACTAAAAGCAACCAGCCTCTGGACAACATGGCCCAGCTTCAGTTTCACTTTCAGTTGAGGGATTGAATGTTTTTCCTTGCTATCTAGATGCTCATCTCTTTTTGGGGAAGAACAAATAAGACCATGACTCTGATTTCATGTACTTTTGGTGGCTCTATCAGGTTTCTGAGTTTCCATTTATTTTCTCCCGTGTCCTCCCCAGTCTTATTACTTTTGTACGAGGAGAAAGAAAAAAGAAATTTCTAAAAACACGCGAGCCAGCTAACCTCTGAATCATAGCCATGGTTTCCAAGCCTCCCCTCCCCCACGGCAATGGCCCAGGCCTGCATCTGGGCCCAGCTCCCTCCGGGTCCATGACACTCTTATGCAGCAACCAACTACTGCCAGGGACTTTTACGGGAAAGAGGTCATTTCCTTCCTGCACTTGTTGTGCCTTAGAATACACACAAAAAAGTCTTGTTCTTCTTTGTCTGTAGTAGGTACCCATGAAATAGGTCCTACATTTAAAAGAAGAAGAAACAAATTCTTCTCCAAAAATAAGTAAATCAATCCCAAAGGGATCTAAGTGTACCCCAGAAAGAAAAAATTAAAACTATACTAGAAGAAATGTTAAAAACAATGTTGAGTTGGGAAGACCTTTCGAATCAAAACTCAATTCCCAGAAGACTTAAAGGGAAAATTGAATAGAGTTTTACCTCTTACAAATTAAAAATTAGAAAGAACATCATTCAAGAGCCAGAATAAAATGAAAGAATAGGAAGCACGGTTTGCAATACTTAAAGCAAAGGTAACTGTCCACAATCCACAAGAAATGCTCAAATCAACATGAAAAGACTGAAATCAAGTTTCTAAAAATATAGCCAGGTGCGGTGGCTCATACCTGTAATCCCAGCACTTTGGCAGGCCAAGGCGGGTGGATCACCTGAGGTCAGGAGTTCGAGACCAGCCTGACCAATATGGTGAAACTCTGACTCTACTAAAAATATCAAAATTTGCCAGGTGTGGAGGCACGCGCCTGTAGTCCTAGCTACTTGGGAGGCTGAGACAGGAGAATTGCTTGAACCCCGGAGGTGGAGGTTGCAGTGAGCTGAGATTGCGCCACTGCACTTCAGCCTGGGCAACAAAGCCAGACTCCATCTCATAAATAAATAAATAAATAAATAAAATTTAAAAATGGGTAAAAGATAGGATCTGAAGAAATAGAAATTAACGTTAACCATATGAAAAGGCACTCAAGCTCACTTTTGAACCATATATGTAAGTGATCACAGAGACATACGTTTTTGAAACATTAGATAAGCCAAACCTAAAGTGACTAATAATGTCCACTGTTAGGGAGGTAAAGGTGGCACAAGCCCCTTCACTGTTGATGGAGTGTGAAAGGTTCTGGTGTCCTGGAGGATCGTCAGCGATACTCAGCACACTTTACAAAGTGCCCCCACGTCATGGCACAGCACCCACTCCTAGGTCTCAGCCTCCAGGGAGCAGAGGGCAAGTGTGCAGGGACAGGGGCTTTAGAGGGTGCCATGCAGCGTTGTTTCTATCACCAAAAAGGGAGAAATCACTAAATCTCCTGCCATAGGGAGTAGGCGGGTCCCTAACACTATGCCCATTAAGACTAAGGAATGCGCCTGGCACGGTGGCTCATGCCTGTAATCCCAGCACTTTGGGTGGCGGAGGTGGGTGGATCACAAGGTCAGGAGATCGAGAACATCCTGGCTAACATGGTGAAACCCCGTCTCTACTAAAAATACTAAAAATTAGCCGGGCGTGGTGGCACGCCTCTGTAGTCCCAGCTACTCAGGAGGGTGAGCTGGAGAATCACTTGAACCCAGGAGGCGGAGGGTGCAGTGAGCCGATGGTGCTACTTGCACTCCAGCCTGGGCGACAGAGCAAGACTCCGTCAGAAAAAAAAGACTAATGAATGCGATGCCTCCCTTAAAGAAATGAGGAGGAAAAGAAGCTGCACAGAATCAAAGACCCTTCGAGGCCACGACACAGAGGTGAGAAACACAGGGCTCCATGAAGTGAAATCTGAATAGCAGGTGTGAGTGTGCGTGTGTGTGTGTGTGTGTGTGTGTGAATTTGTGAGTGTGTGTGTGGCATATGCAAGGTTTGCCTTTTATTTGGTTGCCAGCATGTCAAATGTAATTGCACCTGAGTTTATAGCAAATGTTCCGTCATCTGAGCTCTGAGGAGCCAGGCCCACCCTCTCACCTGCTGGGCATCACCTGGATCTGAGAAGCCCATGCAGGCCTCCAGCTCTCCCCACTTTCCTGCAGCCCCTGCAGGCATCTGGGCTGCAATGTCAACTTTCCCCTGACTCGCACTGCCCCGCCTCCCACCTCACCCCAGATGGGGTCAGCAGCCTGCTGGGGGTCAGCAGGGTAGGGCATCCTAACCCCCTAAGGCAGGTGAAAAACCCTGAGGCTCAGAGAGGGGAAGTGACTTCCCCAGTGTCACACACCTCTTGGAGGGCAGGGGGAAGGTCAACACCTGACCTCCTGACTCTGACATTGAAGCAAGAAAGTATAATGTTAATAATCCAAAATCTTCCAGGTTTGTTTCTGCTTCTACAAACACAGAGGGCTAAGCTCACGCTCCCACAGTTATGCTCACGCTTCCACAGTTTGACTTTTAATCTCATGATTGTCAAGCTGGGATCATGTGGCAGACACCATTCTGCAACATGCCGTTCTCACTGCCCCTGTCTGGGCCATCTTTCCCACTAGGGAACAGCACAGCTTCTTTCTTCTCTATCACCCAGAGGCCTGAAAAGGAACCAGGTGAGTGTCAGGGACATGGAGTCCTGTGATCTACCTGCTCAACTTCCTGACATGGGACCCTCAGCGAGTCACTCATCTCCCATGGCCTCAGTTTACCCACAGGGCCTGGCTCAAGTAGGTGCTCAGAGTCAGGGTGGGTGAAACAACCTCTGGGTTCCTTGTTATCTCTTTTCGCTCTCTCTCTCTTTTTTTTTTTTGAGACAGAGTCTCACTCTGTCAGGAGTGCACTCAGGCTGGAGTGACTGGTGCGATCTCGACTCACTGCAACCTTCATCACCTGGGTTCAAGTGATTCTCATGCCTCAGCCTCCCAAGTAGCTGGGATTACTGGCTTGTGCCACCACGCCCAGCTAATTTTTTGTATTTTTAGTAGAGGCAGGGTTTCTCCATATTGGCCAGGCAGGTCTCGAACTCCTAACCTCAAGTGATCTACCCGTCTCGGCCTCTCAAAGTGCTGGGATTACAGGCATGAGCCACCGCGCCCAGCCAGGTTCCTTGTATCTCAAAGGAAATCCTCTGTCCCCATCGGGCCTCAGCAGCAGCACCCTGGGGCCAGCCTCAGGGTGGCCAGGCCACAAGAAGGACAGGCCAGGCTCTGGATCACCTCCTGTCCTCCACCTTCTCTGGTTCCTCCAAATATTCTAAAGGAATGGACAGTCCCAACATCTGCCTTCCTTCTGGGGTCACCGGGCCATGTCTCACGCAGGCTGGAACTAGAGCTGAGCCCTAGGAAGCTTTGTGAACCCAGCTGAGCTGATTCTGCCTCTGTCTCTACTGTTTGGGGGCCCAGAGAGAGGGAGGGAGAAGTCCAGCTAAAACCTGGGTGCAAATTCAGGCTCTGCCATGGACCGAGATGTGACCTCAGTCAGTTACCTAACCTCTCTGAGCTCATCTACAAAAGGTGAATGACCCTTCTCTTATAGAGCTGCTGTGAGGATGGGGAGATGGGGAAGGTCAGACCACCCCTAACTTACCAAGGAAGCTTCTCTTGAAAGAGTGTGAGCAAGATCCAGCTGTTCTGAGCTGTGTGGATCCCACCTCCAGCCGTGCATCTGCATAATAACCAGACACGTTCTCCAGGCTCTGAGATATACCCTGGAACCCAAAAGGGAAAGTGAAAGTCACAACTTGGCAGCAGCTCCTGATCAAACATGCAAAACAGGATGCTTCCCAGCCCCACCCTTGGCCCAGTCCCATCCTTGGTCCAGCAGCACCCTTGGTCCCACCCTCCTGCTGATCCAAGAGCAGCCCCAGACGTCCTTCTTGGCCAACCCACCTGCCTCCCATACTTAGGGTTGGGGGTTTGCTGTGTCTTCAGGAAGAAAGACCTACCACTGAAAGACTATGAGACCCTCCAGATTACTCCCCACCCCCAATAACACCACACTCCCCAGATGCCCACCTCACTCCCTCCATGCCATCAGCATTACCACAGTCCATCACACATGCCGGGTGGACGCTTATTGCATATTGATTGTATTGCTGTTGGGGTTATTTTGTTGTTTTGTTTTGTTTTGTTTTTGAGATGGGGTCTGGCTCTGTCACCCAGGCTGGAGTGCGGTGGCACAATAATAGCTCACTGTAGCCTCAAATTCCAGGGTTCAAATGAACCTCCTGAGTAGCTGGGACTACAAGCATGAGCCACTCGGCCTGGCTACTTTTAAAAAATGATTTTGAAGGGGTGAAATCTTACTATTTTTACCAGGTTGGTTTCAAACTCTGGCCTCAAATGATCCTCCTGCCTCAGCATGAGCCACCGTTCCAGACCTGCTCTTGTCGAACGCCATACCTGTGTGGCTTCTGGACACTTCCTTATGTGGGTTCTTCTGCCAGGAGCACCTGCTACCTTCACCTGGAAAAGTCACGCTCCTCTATCAGAATGCAAATCTAGCATTTCCTCCCCTGAGAAGCCCCCTAGCATCCTCTTCAGCAGAGCCCACTGCCCCATGTTCCACTCCTGTGGCACTTTTGTTAGGCTGTTGTAATTGGCCACAGTCCCAGGTTGACTGAACAAAGTGGGGGGCGGATGTGGGAGTAAAAGACAAAGACAAAAGAGTATATTAGGAAGAAGGGGTCAGGGGGTTCCTTGCTTCTAGTGAACAAGGGCTCTGAGCTTTTCAAGCTCTCTGAGTTTATTAGGTAAAAGAGATGACGAGAAAAAGGTGGGGGGGTGATTGTCAGGTAATTGTCAGTCAGCCGTTTGGTTCACAGCAGGCTTGCAAGACTGCATCCTTCAAATAATAGGTGCTAGATATCCCAACAGATAACTTCAAGGAGCCCAGCACCAGGGAGTGATGGCCCTCAGGAAACCTTCTGGCGGCGGGTGCAGTGTGAGTTTACCCACATCCCGCATTCATGATAAACAGTTTGCTGTTTGATCATATAGCCTCCAGTGAAATGCTGAGTTGGTCACAATCCCTTTGGCCTTTTCAGCTCCCAACAGGCAGTTAAGTAGACATTAGCAGCTGGGAGGAGAAAAGAGAGCAGAAAGCCTGTCACTGCAACAGCTCCTGGCCCACCTAAGTTCAGCCCCAGAGCCATTCTAAGACCCCCCTAACTGATGAAGTTGGTGGTATAGTTTGTGGCCAGCACATCCTGAAGAAAGAGAAACTAGGGCACAGGTGGAAATTCCCTAAAGGGGCACATGCCCAGTAACATGAAACTGTGCCCTCAGGTCACCCCAAGTTCATTATACCATCATTATAATAAAATGTGGTTTTATTATACAAAAGCCCCAGAGTGGGCTTTTCTGTGAAAATTATGGGTAAAAACATGCATTGCCTAATTTTAGTTATATAACCATAAACTGCCAATCAGATGACATCGTCCTTTACTCAGACACAGCCCCAACCTCAACTTCTCTCCACAAACCGCACAGAAGCACCTTAAACTCTATATAGAGGGGCTGACTTCACTTCACAGAAATTAGCCCACTGTCCCTCTGAGAGTGTCTAACTGTGCTTCAATACACTTTGCTTTGAGCTTGCATTTTGGAGTTAGCCTGCAATTGTTTGCTCACTCTCAGAAGAACTGAGATTACTGGTCCAGAACTCCAGCTCTGTTAATCTCCTCAGTTAAAGGATCCATCCCAGCGCAGAATTCCTGGTAATATCTTAGTGCTGTGACCTGGATGATTTACGTTCAGCATGGCTTTTAATATGTGCTTGATTTTAGCTTGGGGAACTGAAACATATTTTGCTAAAATGCTTCCTTTCGCTTTGGGTCAAGATGTTTGTGCTATGTTTCGCTGCTTGGCTAAGAGAAGTTGCAATGAGTGTTGTATTTGCTGCATTAGAGAGGGGGTATATCCCCCAACATGCCACCAATAACTTTTAGAGAAGGGCTTAGAGAAATCTTCTCTGGATTTAGGTTTAATTAGCTGTTTAACGTGATTAAACAACTTCATTAGGTTGTAGTGGCCATTGAAGCCCAGAGCTTGTTAACAGCCCAGGGAAGCTTTGAGAGGCAAAATGGTTTCTTATGCTCTGGCCACAGAGCCAGGAATCACCCTCAACTCCCTTTAGACTGGGCATTTTGGCTGGATGCAATTTTTAAAATTACTGATTAAGAGAGCCGATTGGGATTCAGATCATGGGATAGCTTGGATAAATGCTAAGTTTAGAGGTTTACAGCCGGGAACGAAGGGTAGGCCCATAGTGGGTCATAACCTTTGGAGAACTCCCCAAATCGTCCTCGCCCACCCTTTTGGGCACTCACCCCACCCGAGGCCCCCTCCCTGCCACACTGCCATAGGCAGCAGCACAGCTTCTGAAGATCGTTTTGCAATTTTTTTTCCTTTTTCTTTTGAACAGAGCTTCATTTCTTTTCTTTCTTTCTAACCACTTTTATTCAGAATCTAGGGGACAAATGTTTTCAGCAAGGCTGTAGTACCCACTGTAGGAAGGGGTCTCCATGCTGGGCACAGCCATGGTCCACACATAGGTACAACTTGAGAGACACACAGACTGCCCCAGGGGAGGCGGAGCCTCCATCTAAAGAGCAGGGGACACTCTCTCCTGGTAATGGTCAAGGATATTGGGATGTCGAGACTACCTTGATCTCAGTGCTGTGTATTCTGGATTGCCAGCTGCATCCACACTCCTATGTAAAACCACAGAGGGCTGCCCAAACTGATGATGTCTCCACAGACAAATACACTTGTGAGACTTTAGTGGACCTCAAGCCTCTCTTTAAAAGACTGCCAAAAAATAAGTAATGCCCACTGACTTTCCCTAGTGCCTTTTTTTAAATATTAGCTTTAAGTTGGATTGTTATAGTTATTCTCATATATTTGCAGTTCAATTGCCTCCTCCTGAATGGGTGAAATAATTTTTTATGCTAAAATAGCTGTTTTAAATGCAGTAACCAATATTTTTGCTTTTTAAACTAGATTAACCCTTGCAATCATTTCTCCTAATGTTTTTTTCCAACACCCATATTTAGCTACCATCAAAGAAGTTTTAAAACCTTGTTTAAACACAACATCAACGGACTGCACAACATCACAGAAACTGTTGAATCTGTGTTTACACCTTCCCTAGCAGAGGTCTATCAGCCATTTCCATTCCTGCTTCTGAGTGGAATCAATCAGAAACATTTCCAGCCCCCACTTCTGTTAACCGACCAGAATAAGCTGTCAATCCTAGGGTCGAGCCCACAGTCAATTGCATACTCCTTAAAAGTCTATACCAACAAACCTGTTACAACCTCCGAGGACCTGTCGTCTATCTGTAATACTATCTGACTAAGCACTCCTTTGTCTTCTATCTTCATTGAGGATGAGGCCATTACTTGGATTTTTTCCTAATATTTCCAAGGCTTGCAATCACACTTGTACCCTATTTTCCACCCAATTATGTGTCAGCTTAGTCACTGACAACAAAAAATGCAAACATACCTGATATTCTAATTCTTCTTTGTGTTTTATTCATTTCCCAAGCCCCCCAACAGAACCACTATGTGGAAAGAAGCCAGCTATTCTGGATCTACCCTTTTCCCCAGACCCACACCAGAATATCATTTTAAACATAACAACTTCTGGTTTCAGTCTCACAACTTCGGGCAAAATCATTGCAAAAAACTGCAGCTCCCCATAATTTCACAATATTGGTTGGGATCCCATCACTCCTTCCTCTAATTGGGCTTTTGATTCCTCTTTCATTCTGTCAAGTACTGCCTGTGTTCCCCCATTACATGAACTAGCCTTGACTTCCACTTCTGAGGGTATTAAAGCAGACTTACACAGCATGGAAAAACCCTACTTTAGTATCACTGTTGATATTTGTCTTAACATGACAAATCACATTTTTGTATAGAAACAAGGCATATCTCTGCTTGTCTGCTAATTAAACGGGGATTTGGCCCTAGTTTACATCATCCCCAAACTCACTCTTATCGATAGCATTCCCCTCCCTATACACGCTCAATCTGGTAAAACTGAAAGAGGAGTTTTAACAGCACTGACTATAATTGGCGTTCTGGCTGGTATTGGCACGGGAACTGGAGGACCTCCTTAACTCCATTTTTACTGCCCAGAAACTCTTCTTAAAAATTACTCAACAAATTATTAATCTAACTAACCAGGTCAATACCCTTTCAGAACAAATTGCTTCATTAGCAAGCATAGTCTTATGAAATTGATGAGCTTTTAATTTGCTCACAGCCAATCAAGGGGGAGCTTGTGCAACACTTGATAAACATTGCTGTTTTCATCAACCAATCAGGTAAAGTGCAAACCAACTTAAAAAAATTACAGACAGGGCCAACAAGTTAATGGAAAACAGAGTTTCAGGAGGCTTTGACTGGTGGAAATTTAACAACTGGTCCTGGTTTTCCTGGTTAGCCCCCTTTCTTGGTCCTAAAACAGCTTTATACAACTTATAGCTTTCAAACGATGCTCATTTGATTTACAAGGTTGTTTTGTTTCTTCCCACCTAGAATCCATAAAACTCCAAATGATTCTACACAAGGTTACCGCGAGGTCTCAACCATGTCTGATATCTACGTGGGCCCCTTGGATGGCCACCACTTTTCTCTGCCCAACCTACCAGCTACAAGAGAGCAAAAAAGAGAACCCAATTATTACCACTGCCTCTTGTCAGCAGGAAGTAGCCAGATTAATTGTCACCGATCTACCCAAAAATTTGGCTTTTTTTCTCTAAAGGGGGAAATATTAGGTAGTTAAATAGACATTAGCAGCTAGGAGTGGGTAAGAAAAGAGAGTAGAAAGGCTGACAGTGAAACAGCCCCTGGCCCACCTAAGTTTAGCCCCAGAACCGTCCTAATGCCATCCTAATGGATGGAGTTTTTGGTAAAGTCTGTGGCCAGCACATCCCAAAGAAAGAGAAAGTAAGGCACAGGTGGAAGTCTCCTAAAGGGGCACATGCCCAGTAACACAAAAACATGCCCTCAGGTCACCCCAAGTTCATTATACCATCATTATAATAAAATTTACATGTGGTTGTACCCTCCTTTCCCCAGAGTGGGCTTTTCTGTATAAATGATGGGTAAAACCATGCCAGTTTAATTTTAGTTATATAACCATAAACTGCCAATCAAATGACATCATCCTGTTACTCAGACACAACCCAAACCTTGACTCCTCCCCACAAACCCCATAAAAGCACCTTAAACCCTGTAAAGAGGGGCTTATTTCACTTCGCAGAAATCATTCCGCTCTCCCTCTGAGAGTATATTACTGTGCTTCAATACACTTTGCCTTGAGCTTGCATTTTGGTGTTAGTCTGCAATTCTTCGCTCACTATCAGAGGAACTGAGATTGCTGGTCCAGAGCTCCAGCTCTGTTAATCCCCACCTCTGTTAAGAATCCATCCCAGTGCAGGATTATTGGTAACACTTAGAGGGAAGGGGCCTAAGCCCACTGCTCAGCCACAGTCCCGTGGCTAAGAAGGCGTGCTGTCGGATTGCTGGCGGACTTTTCTGCTTTACCCCAGGCAGAAGGGTTTTGAGAGGGGCTGAACCCTGACCAACATGACCCTTTCACTGGGAACTGTTTCATCCTGGGCAAATGTCCCTGCAGCCTCGTGGCCACCACCCCATACACCTGCCAGATTTTCAGGGAGGAACAGGAGGGTGATTACACAAGAACTGTACGATACACTTTGAAATATACCCACTTCTCTATTTAATTGGAATTTGATAACCATCTCTTAAATGGGCCAGGAGTATGATCTGAGTTTACAGGTGAGGAAACTGAGGCAAGGCATGAGGCTGTGGCTTTCAACCAGCAACTCGGGGAGGAGCCAAGATTTGTAAACCAAGATGCGTCTGAGACAGATCTCAATCCGTTTAGTGGTTTATTTTGTCATGGTTGAGGATGCCCACAGGAAAAAAAAAAGAGACACAAGTCACAGTCGGATCTGTGGCCCACAAGTTTTCAAAAGAGGGTTTTAAGGGCTTCAATATTTCAAAGGTAAAGAGTGGGAAGGAGGAGGAGGGATGAAAAAAAAAGACAGGACAGGTAGTGAGAAGAGTTGTCACATTCTTGTGAGGCTTTGATTAGCACTTCCTGAATCTATGTGCTGCATGTAAAAGGCATGGATAGAAGAACAGTAATTATGCATTCATCTCATGCTCAGTAAATGTGTATTTTACAGAAGATAAAAATAAACAGGCAGGGCTTGGTGGCTCATGCCTGTAATCCCAGCACTTTGGGAGGCCTAGGCACTTGGATCACCTGGAGTCAGGAGGTCGTGACCAACCTGGCCAACATGGCAAAACCTCGGGTCTACTAAAAATACAAAAAGTAGCTGGGCATGGTGGTGCACGCCTGTAGTTTCAGCTACTCAGGAGGCTGAGGCAGGAGAATCGCTTGAATCCAGGAGGTGGAGGTTGCAGTGAGCCGGGATCATGCCACTGCAATCCAGCCTGGGCTAGAGAGGGAGACTCCATCTCAAAACAAAACAAAACAACAACAATAAAATGAACATAGATTAGAGGAAGCAGTCACATATGCATTTGTGTTGAAGTGAGCAGCAGGGTAATTTCTAGTCTTGGTTTTGTCATGTACCTGTCAAGGTAAGTTACTAATTTGCATTGTCATGGTAAAATTCCACAGGCTCTGTTTTAAGGGAAAAGATGTTGGGGCTCACAAGGAATTTTCTTGTGGGAAATCCATGAGGAAGACCACCTGGGGAATATGTTGCCTTCTGTCTTGGCAGATACCTGTTTAGGGACAAAAAGAAGGGCAGTTTTTTGACTGATTCAATTTCCCTGCTTAACGGTTTTCTTTGGCATAGAGAGTTTGGGGCCCTGATATTTTATTTTCCTTTGACATTATCTCTCCCTTTTACAAAATCTTTTTGAGAAAGCATTGGAGATGCAAATGAGTCTCTGGTCATGAGTTTCATCTGATTCCTGTCAGATGAAGTTGTCTAGTTTCAGTCTGTAGGGTGTTCAGGGAAGCACGGTTTTAATTTCTGGTGATTCCGAGTGAGAAAAATGAGAGAAAGAAGACAAGAATGATGCTTCTTTTGAGACTTGCAGCCAAGAAAGAATTCACGAGCCAGCCTAGATGAATTTTGGACAAATAATAAAACTGGAATACAATGGACAAAGCTAGAATCTAATAACAGGTATTCTACAGTTTCTTTTAAAACATATTTTTTTTTCTCTTCAGTCCTCTAATTCTACCAAAGACAAATCATGGTAGGACTAATTTATTTGAAAAATAAGTTGTAGTCTTATGATACTTGGCCTGATTACTTTCATAAAGTGCAGTAAGAACAATGATTTACCATATGGGTTCTTCTTAAGAAATTGGATTTGCTGGAACATCTTCTTTTTCATAAGGAATCTCAGATTACACCTTTTAAAGCCTTGAGTTCAGCCAAGTATTTATCTGTGCCTGCAGGTTTCTGTATGAATTGGGTGAGTTCCTCTCTTCTTGAGATTCCAAGATAACTTGGGGGTTCCTAGGCCTGTCAGAAAGTATTATTTTCCTTACTTACCCCACATCCCACATCAGGAACCCTGCATAGTTAAAGAATGAGGCCAATTTTTTGATGGGGCTTTCATTGGCTCTATAAGTCAACCTCTATTCCTCAAAGCTGCCTGCTCATATGTGAAAATATGCCATGCCAGTCAAAGCCTTGATAAAATAACTAGTGTCTCCAATGGTGTCCTATTGCAAAGGAAAACAGATTGTTACTGAACTTATGCAAATAATTCTATTGCCATAAATTAAGAAAACTCACAAATAGTTTCCAAATTCTGGAGAAATCAAATAGAGAGAAAGAAATGTGCTTTAACTTTTGCTCACAAGAGTGTATTTCATTCAACTGTCAAAAGCTGTACATAGCTCACAAGATATCAACGTTTCCTTGACTCTGAAGAAGAAAAAAAAAAGAATCAGCCATGTTTCAAACACAAAGTCATCTAAAAAATTATTTCAGTCCTCTATTAGATCAGTCCTAAGATAGAAAAAAAATCAAAAATGTTATTTTGGAGACTTGCCGCCAGGAAAGATTTCAGGATCCATTCTAGATAAATTTTGGACAAATAACAAAACTGGAAAAACAATGCACAAGGCCCTAATCTAGTAACAGGTGTTCTATAACTCGTTCCACCTGATATTGGGTTAGCAATCCTCATGAACATAACAACTTTTTAATTAGAGTCCTGGATTTTTTTTCTCTAGTCCAATGGCATAGCCTGTAGCTGACCATAAACTGGTATTGAGAAGAATTAAAGTAAAACAGTAACTGTGGATAGCAAAAGTATTAGAGCAGCCTTGGCAAACACAAAATTGACAAGGAAATTTGGTTATTTCTGTGACACACAACAACTTACCGTAAAAATGATTATTATTACTAATAACATATATTGCTGTGTGCGGTGGCTCAAACTTGTAATCCCAGCACTTTGCGAGGCTGAGGTGGGCGGATCACTTGAGGCCAACAGTTTGAAACCAGCTGACCAACATGGCAAAATCCCATCTCTACTAAAAATACAAAAAGCAGCTTGGTGTGGTGGTGCACACCTGTAGTCCCAGCTACTCGGGAGGCTGAGGCATGAGAATTGCTTGAACCTAAAAGGTGGCGGTTGCAGTGAGCCAAGATTGTGCCATTGCACTCCAGCCTGGGTGACTGAGTGAGACTCTGTCTCAAAACAAACAAACAAACAAAACAAAAACACCATAGAGGAAGCTATAACAGAATTATAGGCATCTCATACAATTTTGGAACACATTTATTTATATATAACTCAAAGAAAGTTACAACACCATTTTACATCTGTCCTGCTAGACCCGTGCTAGACACTTGCAAGCTCGGAGAGCACAGTCTTGGAGAGAGTAAAGAAAAGACTTGGAGAGAGCAGATGAGACATAAGCTTTATTCAGGGAACTTACATACAAGGAGTCCAGGAGCAGCAGGCTGGACAGAAAGCCCCTCACATTTGTAAAAAGCATGCAGTTTATATAGTATCCTTCCCACAGCAACCTCCACTTAGCCACCTCCACCCGGCAACCTCCACTTAGCCCAAAACAAAGGGCCTTGGTTCCCTCCAGGACCTGCTTCCCAAGGACTGGGCCAGGTTACAGGTGTTCTTCATAGGTATAGTGTAAACATCTGGATTGGCCATTCCTGGGGTCCATAGTTTAGAACAATGAACAAACATTCACCAAGGAACATAGGGCCATTCTCAGGGGATGCTTGAATTATTGCTGTCTGACAGGACATGCCCACTAGGCACTCCACTCCAGTATAGCCTTCAGTGGCCCTCTCGTACCAAGTAAGATGAATATGTCTCTTCAAGACTTCAGGGGACCTAATATCTAAAAAATTAATGAGGTCAAAACACTGGATTTGAAATTTGATTTTAGAAAGTTTGTCAAATACCAAAGGTTGAAAACACTTGATATCACAAAATAGGATTACGCTCACTATAAAGTAAGTCATTCGTGTGGCCAAAGAGATAACTTAAATATTTCAAAAACATAGAAATGTTTACACCTTGAGAGAGAGAAGACTCAGTTTCCCACACAATAACACCTCATAAAGACAGCATGGGCCGGGCATGGCAGCTCATGACTGTAATCCCAGCACTATGGGAGGCCAAGGCAAGCGGATCACCTGAGGTCAGGAGTTCGAGACTGGCCTGGCCAACATGGCGAAACCCCGTCTCTACTTAAAATACAAAAATTAGCCAGACGCGGTGGTGGGCACCTGTAATCCCAGCTATTCGGGAGGCTGAGGCAGGGAGAATTGCTGGAACCCGGGAGGCAGAGGTCGCAGTGAGCCGAGATCACGCCATTGCGCTCCAGCCTGAGCAACAGAGTGAGACTCCACCGCAAAAAAATAAATAAACAGCATGAGGCCAGTGGAATCTGTTTCTCTCCCTACCAGCTTTTTTGTAGTTTATTCAAAAAGCAAACAGACGTCTTTTATTATCTTGTAATATTACATGAAAATCTTGTTCAAAGCAGCAAGCCCAAATTTACCTTTGCTTAACACTAAAGTTAATTTTAATATCTTAGAAACAAATCTGTCAAATTTTAATTAGTTACATCTTAAGGTAAAATATTTTATAAATATTTTATAACCTTTTCAATTTCTATTAAAAAGCAGATCAATGCTCCAAGAAAGCCCTGTTATTCTCATACAGTGGCTCAGATTCTGACCTTTCATCAGTGTGGTATTTATATTAATTTTCAATTTATAGGAAAAGTAAATAATCCCCATTACAATTTTGCCACCTTGATCACAAACAAATTCTTTTTACAAGAATAATCTTCCACACACCTTCTATAATTGGCTGAAAACTTTGGTTTGGTCCTGTTTTTCATTTAACTTGAAATAATCCTTAAAAACTTCTAAACTAGATAACATTATTATTATTATTATTATTATTTTTTTTTGAGACAGAGTCTCGCTCTGTCGCCCAGGCTGGAGTGCAGTGGCACGATCTCGGCTCACTGCAACCTCCGCTTCCCAGGTTCAAGTGATTCTCCTGCCTTAGCCTCCTGAGTAGCTGGGACTACAGGGGCGTGCCACCACACCCGGCTAATTTTTTGTATTTTTAGTAGAGACGTGGTTTCACCGTGTCTACTAAAGATGGTCTCCATCTCCTGACCTCGTGATCCACCCACCTTGGCCTCCCAAAGTTCTTGGATGACAGGCGTGAGCTAGCACGCCCGGCTAATTACGTTTAACAAAACCCACATTCCTGTGCCTCTTATAACGTTTTTACCAAAAACACATCCTACCTTTTGTCACAGGTATAACTGACTGGGACCAATATTGTGGACAGTAAAATAATTTACCCAAGACAGTCATGGGTAAAGAAAGACAGATTTATTAGAGAAAGTACAAAGACACATTGCAAAAGTGCAATGGTCAGCACAGCAAAGAAGGGACGTCTGCAAAGTGTCAGGGGCTGAAGGGAAGTTTCATAGGGTTGTACTGGAGGCTACCTGTGGAATGAGGTGCAGCTGGGGCTACATGCGGAGTGAGGTATTTGGGAACAGGATGTCATGCTAGTTGGTTGTCTGTGATCAGCTGTCTCTCAGAACAATTGTTCTCCCCCACCTGGGGCCCCTTCCTCGTTGTTGCTTACTTATCTTATTAGGACTCCACACAAATTACTCCTTATCAGATTTTAGCCAGGACAAACAGCTGATATTTCTGGCTTTTTAACTTTTATACAAAAGATAACCTCCTGAGTGAAACCAATAACGCTTAACTAAGGTCATTACTGAACCATGGATGCATGGATTCCCCCTGTTCTCAGGCTACACACTAGACAGAAAGTGAGCTAAGCTATTTTCACTGTATTCTTATCTTTGCAGGTGTAAACTCAACCTTTTCCCCACGGCACTTCCTTGGGTTATTCTGAAAGCCTCTGCAGTACTCTGATTATCCCGATGTATATACTACATGAAACACTGTCTGGTTTATTAGTTCATTTATCTCACTAACAGCAATCATACTAATACGTTTTTATGACCTGAGAAGCCTTTGCTTCAAAAGAAGAAGTTTTAGTAGTTGAAGTATCAACTACAAATCTCAAATGACTCTACGGTTGCCCACCACCATACCACACATTTGAAGAACCAGCTTACGTAAAATCCTTGACGAGAAAGGAAGGAATCAAACCTCCTAAAACTGGTTCCAAACGAGCTTCATAATCACTCTGACTTTCTCAATTAAAATGTATTAGTAAAAATAATTACATAACTTTGTCAAAGTTAACTTGTAGGTTAAAATTATTTATCTCTTTATGGCATATCCATTTAAACTAGGCTTCCAAGATGCTATGTCACCTATCATAGAAGGAAGAACTCCTTCATTTTCATGACCACACCCATGTGGTCATTTTCTTTTCTCTGTTTTTTTTTTTTTTTTTTTTTTTTTGAGACAGAGTTTCACTCTTGACTCTTGTTGCCCAGGTTGGAGAGCAATGGCACGATCTTGGCTCAACACAACCTCCGCCTACCGGCTTCAAGCGATTCTCCTACTTCAGCCTCCCACGCAGCTGGGATTACAGGCATGTGCCACCACGCCCGGCTGATTTTGTATTTTTATTAGAGACAGGATTTTTCCATGTTGATCAGGCTGGTCTTGAACTCCCGACCTTAGGTGATCCGCCCGCCTCGGCCTCCCAAAGTGCTGGGATTACAGGCGTGAGCCACCACCGTGCCTGGCCGTGATCATTTCCTTAATTCGTTCATTAGTACTTTATATTACTTCCCTGATACTAACAAATTAACTTGCACAAGACTATAGATGCCCAAGAAGTGGAGACAATATGAACTATGTTGCTTGCTAGTATCTTAATTTTAATTGTTCTCCCATCATTATGTGTTCTAATACATAATAGATGAAATTAATAATCTCTCCCTTTCTGTCAAAACTATAGGGCATCAATGATATTGAAGCTACAAATATACAGATTATGAAGACCTAAGTTTTGACTCCTACATAATTCCCACAACAGACTTAAAATCAAGAGAGCTGTGGTTACTTGAAGTTGACAGTTGAGTAGTTCTCCCTATAGAAATATTAATTCATATGTTAATTTCATCAGAAGATGTCCTATATTTGTGAGCCATACCATCACATCAATAGGCCTAAAAATCGTTACAATCCCAGGGCATTTAAACCAAGCAACCTTAACATCTATACGACCAGACCTTTACTACAGACAATGCCCAGAAATCTGCAGATCCAACCATGGCTTTATACCCATTGTTCTTGAACTAGTCCCCCTAAAGCACTTCGAAAATTGGTCAGCCTCTGTATCATAATATCACTGTGAAGCTAATTAGCATTAACCTTTTATGTTAAAGACCGAGAGCCAGGATTTCTCCACATTAAAATGTCCCAACTAAACACATCTACATTATTTACTATGGTTTTATGTATAATCATATCACTCTTTATCTTATTTCAATTAAAATTCTCAAAATTTATCTCCCCAATAAGCTCAACACTAAAATTCTTTGAATCACAGAAACTTGAAATTCCTTGAGAAATGAAATGAATGGAAATGTATTTGCCTTTCATTGCCCTAACAGTAATACGAAGACCCGTAGTTATAATCTCCTATTTCCAAGTATTTTATTTCTATCATCTAGTCACCTGATTAACAACTGGCTAATCTCCATTCAACAGCGACTAATTCAACTCATATTAAAACAAATGATAATAATACATAATACCAATGGATGAAGCTGATCCCTTATACTAATTTCATGTATTCTGTTTATTGGCTCAACTAATTTACTAGGAGGCTTCCCACTCACACCAACTACTCAACTCTCAATAAATTTAGGTATAGCTATTCCAGTATGAGCAGGAGCAGTAATTACTGGTTTTTGTCACAAAACAAAAGCATCCCTTGCTTATTTCCTACCACAAGGAATGCCTATTTAACTTCTCTCTTTTCTAGTCATCGTCAAAACCATTAGCCTTTTCATTCAACCAATAGCCTTACCCATATGATTGACAGCCAATATTACAACTGTAAATGTAAATTATACATTTAACTGGAGGTGCCATCTTAGTATCAACATCTATTAGCCTACCCACAGCCTCAGTCCCATTTATTACCTTGATTTTACTAGCCGTTCTTGAATTTGCCATGGTTTTAATCCAAGCATATGTTTTTACAATTTTTTTTTGAGACAGAGTCTAGCTCTATCACTCATGCTGAAATGTAGTGACATGATCTTGGCTTACTACAGCCTCCAACTCCTGGGCTCAAGCAGTCCTCCAGCCTAGCCTCTGGAGTAGCTGGGACTACAGTTTCATGTCACCATGTCTGACTATTTTTTTATTTTTTATTTTTTGGTTAGATGGGGTTTTATCAATGTGCCCAGGCTGGTCTCAAACTCTTAGGTTCAAGCAATCTACCTGCCTTGGCCTCCCAAAGTGGGATTATAGGTGTGAGACACCATACTCAGTGGTTTTTACACTTCTAGTGAGCCTCTACTCACATGATAGTACTTTACGACCTACAAAACCCAAGCATATAATAGAGTAAGCTTCAGCCCTTGGCCATTCACAGGGGCGCTCATAACTACTGTAACACTTGTTGAAAGGCACTCATTACAACATCTGTCTTAGCCATATGATTCCACTCGAACTCAATTACTCTATTAACCCTAGGCCTAGTAACTAATACATTAACAATGTATCAATCATAATGAGACAATATCAGAGAAGGCACATTCCATGGCCACCACTTGTCAATTGTCCGAAAGGGCCTTAGATATGGAATAATTTTATTTATCCCATCAGAAGTAGTTTTCTCTGCTGGATTCTTCTGAGCATTCAAGCCTGGTCCCAATCCCAGAACTCGGAGGCTGCTGACCTCCAACAGGTATTTACCTCCTTAACCCCTTCGAAGTGCCCCTACTCAACATATCCATTCTCTCAGCTTTGGGAGTATCAATTACCTGAGCCCATCATAGTTTGAAAGAAGAAAACCAAAAACACATACTCCAAACCTTATCCATTACGATTGCCCTGGATATTTACTTTACACTCTTCCAAGCCTCAGAATGCTTCCAGGCACCTTTCACCACCTCTCATGGCATATATGGCTCAACATTCTCTATCGCTACAGACTTCCATGGACTTCACGTCATCAATGGCTCAACCTTCCTAACCATCTGCCTTGTGCATCAACGAAAATTTCACTCATCAGACTCTTGCCAAATTCCATTGCACATCTGCTCTACAATCAAAGACACCTTGGATCTAATTCTCCTTCTAATATTACTACTCATATCAGTACTGTTCTCAACTGACCTATTAGGAGACTCAGACAATTACACTCCAGCAAATCTCCTCAACACACCACCCGACATTAAACCAGAATGGTGCCTTTCATTTGCCTATGCAATTCTACATTAAACCAGAAGGGTGTCTTCTATTTGCCTATGCAATTCCACATTAAACCACAGTAGTGTATTTCATTTGCCAATGCAATTCCACATGAAACCAGAATGGCAACTTTCATTTGCCTATGTAATTCCACATTAAACCAGAATGGTACTTTTCATTTGCCTATGCAATTCTACACTCCATTCCTAATGAACTAGGAGGCATGCTGGCCCTTGTCTTCTCCATTCTTATCCTAGCTGTTGTTCCAACACTTCACATATCTAAACAACAAGGCATAATATTCTGACCATTAAGTCAATGTCTGTTCTGAATTCTAGTAGCAGACCTTCTTACACTTACATGAATCGGGGGCCAACCTGTTGAACACCTCTTTATTATTATGAGCCAAGCAGCATCCATTGTGTACTTTTCCCTTATCCTTCTTTTTATACCAATTACTAGCCTAATCGAAAACGAGCTACTCAAATGAAGAAGTCCTTGTAGTATCATTAAGTGACTCTGGTCTGTAAACCAAAAATGGAGGACCCGGCTCCTTGGGACCATTTCCAGGAAGAAGCTTCTTGCTCCACAACCAGCACCCAAAGCTGAAATTCTACTTAAACTATTCCCTGATTTTTGTACTTGAAGTGCAATACATTTATTTTAACTGCTATGTCAGATTGGAAAATCCACATAAATTACTGTTGCAACTATGTACATCATGCATTCCTGCTTGACCCCATGAATTAACATGCTAGTACTAGATGTGCCTGATCGTATATTGTATATTTATGTATCGTACCTTAAATCTTCACCTCCATGAATATTTAGCAGGAGTAATAATGTCACAGCAACCTGTCATACATTCATCAAACATTCTGCAGAAAGCGATTAACATACATATATATCATCCAGTATAATAATCCCTTAATATTGCATAGGACATTCAGTTATTTATGAATCATAGCACATTCAAGTCAAATCATTTCTCAGCAACACGCTTATCACCTCCTAAAAACATTCTTAACTAACAAGCTTTGAGAAATCAGCAGCCTGCTTGGAAAGTTCTATCCTTCTTACTCCCGGCCCATGACACTTGGGGGTAATTAGACTGCAACTATACCTGGCATCTGGTTCTTCCTTCAGGGCCATGGAGACTAAGATCGTCCACTTGTTCCTCTTAAATAAGACACCTCAATGATTTAGTGACAATCACCTCATGGTCACTTGCAGAAGTACTGACATGTATTTGGTAGTTTTTAAATTGGGAGATGCTATGACTCAGCATGGTGGGAGCCTGAACCCAGCCAACTCCATTGTAGCTGGAGTTTAATGGAATATTACGAGTCAACACTTACAACCACAAGGTGCTAATTTATTCATGCTTGACAGATATCATGAAAAGAAAATGCACGTTCAAGCTCACCCTTTCTCCAAACATGTATCTGATTTACTCCTCAAACTCCCCTGCCCCCTTTTCCCTGGACTAACCTAATTATGCCAAAAAAAATTGTTTGTTCTTGCCAAGCCCAAAAACAAGATATGTATAACATCAATGACAGCCAGGGCTCACACTCCAAATCAAATTGTAATCTCAACTACAATTACATTTTAGCCAAACTTTCAATTAAACCTATTTCAAAAACACATGATTGTAAAATAAAAACCAGGCTATCTAGGCTAAAAATCCCACTTTTTATTTCTAAAGTTACTAAATATTGCCCTAATAACTAGCATAGTACTTCAACCCTTCATTTTGTAACAGAGAGAAAATTGTCTAGATCCGAATTAATGTAGCTTATGATATTAAAACAAGGCACTGAAAATGCCTAGGTTAGTTCATGTAACTCCATAAACACAAAGGCATAGTTCTGGTCTTTTTATTGGGTTTTAATAAGATTACACATGTAAGCATCTGGATTCCAGTGAAAACGCCCTCCAGATCATCTAATTTCAAAAGGAGCAGGTACTAAGTGCACAGCCCTACATCATAACACCTTGCTCAACCACGACCCCACGGGAAACAGCAGTGATAAAAAAAAAAAAAAGCAATAAATGAAAGTTTGACTAAGCTATACTAAACTATTAGGGTTGGTAAATTTCATGCCAGCTACCGGAGTCATACAATTAACCCAAACTCACAAAAACAAGCATTCAGCGTGTTTAAGGCAATTCTCATAATAAAGCTAAACTTTAAACCGAGCCATGAAAAGCTCAAGCTAAAATAAAAAGAAACTACAACAATGATTTTAGTATCCTGAGAACATGATAGCTAAGGCCCAAACTGGGACTAAATCTCTCACTGTGCTTAGCCATAAACTTAAATAATTTAATAAACAGAATTATTTACCAGAGCACTATAAGCAATAGCTTAAGCCTCAAAGGACATGGCGATGCTTTACAGCTCTCGAGAGGGGCCTGTTCTATATTCAATAAGCTCCGATATACCTCAGCATCTCTTGGTAACTCAGCCTGTATACTGCTTAAACAATCTCACAGGAAGTCACCCCATCTATTAATTATTCTTTTATCAGTCCCCTTGATAAGTGGGTCATCCACTTTATCATCTCTTATTCTTGCACAATAATCTGCATGATTGATTTTACCATCATGACCCCTGTCCATAATGTAATTCATCTCAACACTAGCAGAAACTAACCGAGCCCCATTTGACCAGCAGAATGTGATTTAGAGCTAGTCTCAGGCTTCAGTATAGTTATTTATTTAATTTTTTTTTTGAGACAAAGTCTCACTCTGTCACCCAGGCTGGAGTGCAATGGTGCGATCTCGGCTTACTGCAACCTCTGCCTCTGGGCTCAAGCGATTCTCGAGCCTCAGCCTCCTGAGTAGCTGGGATTACAGGTGCACACCACCATCCTAGCTGATTTTTGTATTTTTAATGGAGATGGGGTTTCTCCATGTTGACTGGGCTGGCTCTGGAACTCCTGACCTCATGTGATCCACCTGCATCGACCTCCCAAACTGCTGAGATTACAGGAGTGAGCCATTGCGCCCGGCCCGGCTTCAATGTTGAATATGCTGCAGGTTCATTGGTTGTTTCTTCATAGCAGAATATACTAACATTATTATAATAAATGTCCTAACTACTATTATTTTTCCAGGAGTACTACATGATGTCTTTATAGCAAAAATCTATACAATTAATTCCATTACCAAACTCTCCTACTGAGAACCCTGTTTCTGTGAATCAGGGCATCAGACCTATGAGTTTGATATGATCAACTTATGCATCTTCCCGTGAAAAAACTTTCTATTCCTTACTCTAGCCCTATGCATACAGAATGTTTAAATATCTGTCCTAATATCTAGTATTCAGCCACAAACATGGGAAATATGTCTGATAAGAGAGTTACTTTGACAGAGTAAATTACAGAGGTTTAAATCTTCCTATTTCTAGAATTACAGGAATTGAAACTAGTCCTAAGAAGTCAAAATTCTCCATGCTATCTGATACACCATGTCCTATAGTAATAGCAGCTAATAAGTAAGGGCAGCTTACCCTATGGTAATGGCAGCTAAATAAGTTATCAGGCCCATACCCAAAATATGCTGGTTTATACCCTTCCTGTACTAATCAGTTCTCTAATCTTCCTCACTATCCTATTCACTATTTTTATAGAAACTGTAATTATAGTAATCGCCTTACACTGTCTCTTAATCTGAAAGGATTAGAAATAAATATGCTAGTCATAATCCCCATAAAAGGCCAAACCCAGGCCGGGAATGGTGGCTCACACCTATAATCTCAACACTTTGGGTGGCTGAGGTGGGTGGACTGCTTAAGGCCAGGAGGTCGAGACCAGCCTCGGCAACATTCATAGGGAGTGAGGCCATGCTTGGTAGTGAGTGACTCATTCAAAGTTTTCATGGTTTCAGGGAGATTCTTAGTCTAGGACCCCCAAGAGCCATCCTGGGACAGTGCTCATATGTGGGTCTTTAGCAGGGCACTCTTCCACTGAGGTCTGCCCCAGTGGGTTACATGAGCTGTGGAACCTCCAGTCTATGGATTGTTCTGATGCCCAGTGCTGGAAATCATGGCCCATGAAAGGGGGCCCTGACCTCTATCTGTCCTTTTAGCCATGCCATTCGTGACACTAAGAGCGGTGAGACGCTTCATGGTCTCCAGTTGGGTGGCACGTTTTACACTGAAGGCCTGTAGTAGCCTCATTGTTGTATCCACACAGGTTAAGTCATACCGTTTCCCTCCGCTCTGGGGCGGGGGGGCCAATAAAATCGACTCGCCAGTCCCGCACAGGTTGTATGGCTCGATGTATGTGACCCGGTGTGGAGGGAACCTTTCTAGTCGCAGCCATGAACAGGTCCCGGGGTTCTGAACAGCTGCTAGATTATCTGCACAGTGGGCAGGGAAGCCTACAGTCTTTGCTTTGGCCCACCTCATGGCTGCCCCCTGGTGGTCGCTCTTATAAGGTAGCCACATGGCAGCCTCCCACAATGGGCTCCAGCAAACCATGGGAACATGCTTAAGGGCGCCTGCCTCCTGATTTCCAGGAGACAGCTTAGGACTATGTGCATCAACATGGTACACCATAAGATGCACATCATTCTTTTGTCACCTGACGTGGATATTCTGCCACATGGACAGGCCCTCAAAGGGGCCTGCCCCAAACCTCCCAACTGTAAGCAGCCCATTGACTGCTTTGTCGTTACCCCCATTCTATCCATATGGTGTCAGTATCCATTTGCACCGTCAGCACTGACCGTAAGTGTTAGGTGCTCTTGCTAGTTCCATGTGTTTGCCTGGCAGATATCGTAAGGGTCGCCTCATATATGGTAGTTGGCATGGTAGGTGGATCTATTGCCATGTCCGCTCTTTCAAGCACGTCCTGTAGTACTTGACTTAAAGGACTAGTGGACAGGGCATCCCTTTGTTGCAGAGAGGCATGGCATTTCTGTAGGATGTGTGGTTGTGCCACCCCGGGAGGCGGGCTTGGCTAGGAGACCTTCCATTCACCCTTGTATAAGGTAGGCAGTCTTTACTGGGACAGTCTGCTTTCTGGCGATGGCCTCTGCTCGTTGCAATGTCCTATACATGGCCAATAGCTGCTGCTCCAGCACTGTAAAGTGAGATTCTGCTCCCTTCCACAGTTGAGACTGAAACCCTACAGGTACCATTCCTGTGGGTTGCATTTGCGACAAACTCCAACTCAGGTCAGTGGCGTCTCTAGTGACTTCCAGTACAAGAGGGTGCTGTGGTCATGAGGCTCCTGTTGCTTGAGCTTGTTTCACCCATATTTTGTTTTGTCAGAAGCCTCTTGCTCCATATCTGTCCAGTCCCATTTGTTTCACCTTTCTTTATTAGAGTGTATAATGGGCAAAGGGATTGTGCCAAATGAGGAATGAATATCCTCCAGTAGCCCAGTAAACCTAGGAAAACCTGCAGTTGCTTTACTGTCTGAGGAACAGCATGGATGCGGGCTTGATGGTCCCCTGGGGCCCATCGGAGTCTCTTCCCAGGAAATTGGAGGACCTGAAGGAAAACCCTTAGAGGCAGCAGGCAGTGGAGCTGAGGCCTGAAGAGGAGCTGGTTTCCCACTGCTGACACCCCTGAGGCTTTCCGGATCCCTGGTCTTCCCTAAACCTGGCTTTAAAATTGCCTGTGTGTGTGTGTGTGTGTGTGTGTGTGTGTGTGTGTCTGTCCATACATGTGTGTGTGCACACCCATAGATTTCTTTATTTATTTAATTCTGTGAGCTTTCTCTCTGGATTCTTCCAATACATGTCTCTACTGCAGAGTTAGCCAGAGGATTTTAAAAAGCTTTCGCTTCACTTTTGTTCTTGCATTTGCTTTTGACTTTGTTTTGCTTTGCGCTCTCCTTGCTTCAAAAAAAAAATGTTAACTGATACAAACATTGTCCCAAAGAGTTGGTTGCAGATCACAGGCCCTCAGATGATTGGCATATTTGGAATAAGTTTTCAGGCTGAGAGGAGGGCAGAGCAACAGTGAGCCACCCCCAACCCCAGCATTCCGGGGAGCACCTGCTGTCATCTTGTGGAAAGGGGCAAGGAACGCTGGGACCTGAAGCAGGATAGGTCACTTCAGACAAATGCCTGGCTTTGACATTTTTCCTGAAGGCGTCTGATAAATTGTGGCTGTTGATATTTTTGGCTGACTTTCCTATGAAAAGCAAATTCTGTAGGTTTCTGGTTACATGATAAATTTCGTCCTCGCCAGATCTTCTAAGCGCACATGAGGGCCCTGATAGGGAGAGAGTGGTGTGTTAGCTCCTCCCCTGCTGTAACAAAGCACCACAGACACAGTGGCTCAAACCAACACGAAGTTCTTCTGGAGCTCAGAAGTCCTAAAATCAAGGTGTGGGCAGAGCTGCGTTCCTTCTGGAGGCTCTGGAAGAAGAAGCCATTCCATTGCCTCTTCCAGCTCTTGGAGGAAACTGCTGGCCTTGGCTCCTGTCTCCTTCCTTCCTCTTCAAAGTCAGCCTTGTAGCATCCTCCGATCTCTCCCAGTCTCTCTCCCCTTCTATCATCTCATCTCCTTTTCTCCCTCTCACCCTACTGTCTCTGCCTTAGAAGGACCCTTGTGGTTACATTGGACCCACTTAAAGAATCCCAAATAATCTCCCATCTCCAGATCCTTATCTGGACGATAACTGCAAGGTCCCTTTTATGATGGAAGGTGATATAATCGCAAGTCCCAGGGTTAGGACATGCACATCTGTAGGGGGCTGTTATTCAGCCTAAAACAAGTTGCATCAAGAAAATTACGATGGGGATATCAAGGAGTTTGAAGAATCCCAACTCGTAGCCATGTCTAAGGGCTTTTCTGAGGTACAGGCCCCGCTAGAGGAAGCTGCTCCAACTCTGTTCCTGTCTGCTCCTGCCCCACTCTCTGTTTCTAGACAGCCTGCGTTCAAGTCATTGTGGCCCAAGACTGAACTGCAGAATGGAAAGGAGTGAGGCGCTGCAGCAGAAGGAGCTCGCTGTCAAAGCTCCAAAGAGCCGGAGACCATTTGCAGGGTGGGGTCTGAGGGAGGTTGGCAAGGAAAGGGGAGCATCATGTGGATTCCTTTCCATAGTTGTCATGAGCTAACACACTTCGCCCCAACAGCTGGCTTAGATTCTAATTGTGCCCAGGACTGGCCATGCAACCCTTGAGTAAATGCTGGCCACCTCTCTATGACACCAAAAGGCCAGAAATTACCTGGCATGATAAAGAAGAAGGAGTCAAGTGTATAGGAGACCGGAGGGTTAGACTGGATTTCTCAGGCGCTTTCTGCCCTGACTGTGTGCTGCCAGGGCCCAGGAGATTCCCCTTTCCTTTGATGAGAAGAATCAGTGGATATTCTCTAGAGCTCTCTAGAATGGGGGAGGGGCTAGGACCCTGGTCTCTTTAGGGTGGGAGAAATTCCAAGAGGCAAACCCTAGGGTGAGGCAGGTGGTGGCCAGAAGAAAAGAGTGTGGACACCAGGTCAAGAAGCAGGGAGGGCGCATGATCTGGGCTCAGGGACGTTCCACATGCAGAATCCAGCAACAGAGCTGGTGGACAGTCTACTGACTTCGCAAAACCCCCAGTCTGGTGAGCAGGCACCTGTCACAGGTCATCATGCTGGATGGCCCCTGCTTGTCACTCAATTCTCAGGCCTGACTCATAGCACAGACCCAGAGCCCTTGAAGGAAAGGGAGGCCAGGAGTCTGCAAAAGGCCCCGTCATTTCCCATAAGTGCAGCCTGTGAGCGTTCCTCCTACCTGTTCTCCCTGGACCTGGAGCGTCCCCTCAGATCACAGGGGACGGCTTAAAGGAAACCCATCCCCAGGACTGTTGGATCCCATCCAGACTGACACCAATTCCTGGGACCCATAATGACCCAGAGTGCCACTGTGGTGTTCCAGTCAGAGGGGGGGTTACAGGGAACAAGTAATGAATGAATATCTGATTTCAGTTTACTTTTCAATAAGTCTATCACCTGGTTATTATTTTTTAAATTCCTGGGTGGATAACTGGAATGCATATTCTTGGAAGCTTCAGATTGTTCACGTAGACCCACGGATGATGACTATTTCAGTGACAGACGCCGGTGGAAGCCGTTGGTTTTACATACCTGCCTAAATATTTTAATCAGAGTCAACAGCAAATTCATGGAGGAGTTAGAGAGATTGCTGCCATCATCAAGGTTTAAAGGGAGCAGAAGCAGTGATTCCTGTGACTCACCTGTTCACCTCTTCAATGCAGCCAGTCGTCAGCAGGGAAACAACTGTTTGTCTTCCAACAGCAGAACAAAGCAGGAAGCTCATCAGTAGAAGCTGCCATTCCTAAGGTGTTCTTGTTAATGAAGCAAATAAACACAGCCTGCAGCTCTCAGTCTCTATCAATCAGGCTTCTTGGTCAAGCAGAGGTACCATCTCTGGTTTTTAAGGGCAGAAAACAACATGAAATTCACTGGAATCATATCAGAAGAGCCCCACCTGCAGAGGAGGCTGGAGTTTGGCTTGGAAGATAAAAAGAAGCCAAGACAGTGACACGGTATCAAGGCTGCGAGCACAAGAGCCCTGCTTTGTGAGGAGTGACACGGCCACAGCGCTGCCCCGCCACCTGCGGACATCATCTCTGCAGGTGCAGGACTCGGTCGCCCTCTTCTCTATTCTCCTCCTGGGCAGTCCTGCTGCTCTCACTGAGAATGGGTTCTAAGCACCCTGGGCTTTGCCTCACTTGCTCCAGTTTCAGAATCCCATGTGGAAGCAGCCAATTAGCCAGCCTAGCTCTTGGACAGGAGCCCTGGATGCCAGAGTGGGGGTAGGGAGTGGGAGAATCTACTTGCCTTAGAATCACAGAGGGAAATGGGCCCAGCCTCTCTCTATGACTACACATGCTGGCAAACGCCCAAAGTAGGAAGAGGAAAATAGATGCGGAAGAGTTCCCTGCTGTGAAACAAGTTTGTTCCATCTCTTGGTTCTAAATATTGACATCTTTGATTGTACAAGGCAGACCCCTAACTCTAATTTGTGAAAACTAAATAGAGATACATAACTCACAGACCATGAGGGCTGAATGCAGGTGCTTACACTGAGTTATGAGTACTCAACATCTCTCAAATTCTGCTGTGCTTTCCTCCTGGCCCACCTGCTCCCACCAGGCCTGGCCTGCTGTGGAACACCTCTCAGGGATGGTTCCTGAAGAGCAGTGGAGCACACCTCACAGTCCAGGCTGCCTGGAAGGAGAGGTGTCCTCGGGAAGGATCTGCCTTGTTTGCTGGGTAACAGTTGAGGATTTGGCTGTAAGTTCAGCATTTTAGAAGGAATACGTCTGGAGGCTTGGTGACAAAGATATTTAGGGAAGAGGTATACAGATAAAGATTTTAGAATGAGCCCAGAGCAAAAAAAAGAAAGAGAAAAAAACTACCCCTGTCCCATGTGAATACTGACTAGAAAGTCTCCACTCTCAAGAGACTCATATACAGGGAAGAAGTCACTTTTGTGGCTGCAAGTCTCCTCTGTTCCCAGGGCGGCCCGGTATTTTCAGAATGGGCTCCATAACCAGGTGCGTGATGTGGAGCTCGGTGTAACCACGCAACACGGATCCCTCCTCAAGGCTGAGCACTTGGCATCGTCCAGTGAATCTCAACCCCGGAAGTCACAGCCTTAGAGAGCATGGAAATGGCCCGAAGGGGACTCAGTTCCATGTCAGAGGCTGGGAACTGCCTTTAGGATGTGCTATGTTTTGAATTCATACCCAAAATTTACCTCATTTCCTGTGATAGCCAGAATTTATGGAGCTGGACAGTAAGAGGTTAAGATGAGGGTGATAGCTCTATGGTTACAAACAATAAGTCACTTTCAAAAATCTTGTTTACAATACCCCTAACTCAGAGACTTTTAAGTCTAGAAGTTTCAGTATCTAAGGTGGGAATGCCTCCTGCAAGGCTGACAAAAGTGGTTTCAGAGGTGCCCATAGCTGGCTTCTCATGCTCCCTGATGTAGGGATAGCAATGACGTCACTGGGTTAGATATAATCATGGATCATGATCATCCAGGGAAGCTCATGTTGTTACTACACAGCAGGACATGAGGAATCGAGGGATCCCCTAGGATTGCTCCTTGTAATACTCTAACAAGTTGTAAAGGTGAATAGGAAATTTCACCACCTTACTGAGGCCAGACCATCAAGGAGCTTAGACCCCACAAGAATGACTTCGCCCATAAGTAAGAGGAACATTGAGTGGAACAGTCAAAGACTTGTGACGGTGGCAGCAATGGTCAGTGGTGGTTGTAGCCTTGACCGCACCTCTCTGTTTCCTACAAATATACACACAGAAAATGCTGAGATAGGAGCTGCCAATGGACCAAGAGAAAAATTGACAGTGTGCCGAGGCCTTCCTCCTGTGACATAACTTCAGCATGCAGAAGAGGGCGATGGTGTGTGTGGCTCTCTTTGGAGAAGAAGCAAGTGCATTTGTCTTTGTCGTTCGGATGGCTGGATTCATAACAGGTAAAGAGAGTTTTTTGTTTGTTTTTCGAGACGGAGTTTCGCTCTTTCACCAGGCTGGACTGCAGTGGCGTGATCTCAGCTCGCTGCAAGCTCTGCCTCCCGGATTCAAGCAATTCTCCTGCTTCAGCCTCCTGAGTAGCTGGGATTACAGGCATGTATCACCATGCCTGGCTAATTTTTGTATTTTTAGTAGAGACGGGGTTTCATCATGTTGGCCATGCTGGTCTTGAACTCCTGAACTCAAATGATCCGCCCGCTGCAACCACGCGAAGTGCTGGGATTACAGGCGTGAGCCACTGTGCCCAGTCGAAAAGGGTTCTTTTTGTTTGTATGAGAAGAAGGGTACGTGTGTGTGGTAGCAAGCAGTTGACTATATACAATAAGCACAAATTCAGGTGACTGTTTGGCCAGAGGCTTCCCATTAGGGTTTGTGTCTCTGTTACTCATCGCTGTTCCTGATACCATAGCCTGACTGATTGGTTCAAGAACAGTCACTGACCCAAGCTATCCTCTCATTTGAGAATGTGAAACTTTAATCAGAGACACTAGGAATCAAAGTGTGTGGAGCTAAGCCAGGTGCAGGCAGAGCCCTGAAAGGGCAAACCATATATTCCTGATGTTGGTAATGGTCTGCTCCTGTCCTTCCAAATTCTGTAGATTTTGTTCTTCCTTCCATCCTCTGACCTGCTCTAGTTTTCATCCAATGAATCTTCTATTTTGTTTAAGACAGATAGTTTCTGTTTCTGTTGCTTGCAATTGAAAAATTTTTAAACAATACTAGCAGTACAGTGGAATTGCATCAAATGCAGGTAGCCTGATGGCATTTCAACTCTAAGTGTCAGGGCAAATGCTGGCTGGATCACTGAAGAAGTAAATTACTCAGTGCCAGAAACATTCAAAGCTTAAGTGAAATGTATGAAAAGAATGGGAATTATCCAGGAATTGATGAACAATTGACAGACAAATGAAACACAATGTTCTGGCGTTAGGCAAGTCGGTGGCCGTTGCTCTGTTGACTTCTTCAGGAAGAAATAGATGAATCAACTGAAGGTCAGGGAAGCCTTGGCTGATGGAGAGTTACAGGGACTGAGGCAAGTGTTCTGCAGGATGCTACATAAAAAAGGACTAAGTAGGCCCTGGGTGCACTTTACGAGTGACTTAGGAGAGGTTCTGGGGTGATTTTGTGCATTCTGTATCTCTTGCCCCTGCTCTGGGCTCCAGCTGAGGCGCCCAGCAGTTCTATATTCTATGCATGGAAATACAGATAATTAATGTCCACTGGGGCAAGGCCATGGGGGACAGGAGCAGTGGTTACAGGCCTCCCTCTCTCCTCCCTGTAGAGGAACATTCTGAAGACGCTCCTTGAAGACTCCTCAGGAGGTCTCCAGTCGCCCACATGGGTGACCCTATCAAGAATTTCTCCCGGCATCAGCCTTCTGTCCTTCTCTGTGTCACTCCTCCCAGTACCCCAGTCCTGCTCCTAGAATCACTTCCCAAACAAATCCTCTGCCTGGGAGCCTTGCCTAGGGCTCTCCCTTCAGGGGAACTCAGGCCACAGCAGCCTACATTAGACAGCATGAAGGCTCTGGGCTTTTGTGCTAAGAGTAATAGGAAGCCATTGAAGACATGGAAGCCGGTGTTTGATGAAATCTGTGTTTTTATGGGTCAACTTGGCCCAATGTGGAGGAAGAGCTGGCCTAGCGGCAAGGGCTGTGTATCAGCGAAGACCATTTTGGAAGCTTTTGCAGGAGTCTGGGCGAAGTGAGAAGGCTGACTGGATGAGGGTGTTTGCAGACTGGATGAGGGTATTTGCTGTCTGGCTGTCTCTCTCTGTCCCTCTATGTCTCATGGATTTTCCTTCAACCTACATACAGGCCCTTCTGATCTTAGCCTCATGTGACCCATGTCAATCCTGGGCCCTGGCTGCTAGATCAGGACCACGCCTGTACTAGAGCCAAGCCAGAAGTCTACAAGTTTTCCCTGAGTGCTTCAGGGGCCACTGGGCACTGGGTTCGCAGAGAAATGAGCAGTCTGGAGAGTAAGCAGAAGGGGCCATGGAGGCCTAGCTCCCTGAGAGCCTGGAAGAAGAATCATGAGGAAGAGAAGTCAGGCACCCAGAGCCTAGGGGAGCCCATATATCAACACACAAAGGCTCAGTCATCAGTCAGTGTTGCTTGAACACAAGTCTCTAGAACACAAGAGAAGAGGGCCAGGTGGATGTGAGATATCATCTTGTCCAGCCCCCCTTTCCCAGCTGATGAGGAAACTGAGGCTCAGAGAGATGGGGTCTCTTGACTGCAGGCTGGTTCATCTCCTCAATGCACCACAACATTCCTTGACTTGTTCCTGGCATCTGGTTTTGCTTTTATTTTTCTTCACACATCAACGTTTCCAATATAGCATTTGGAGTTTCATTGAAATGTCATCGGTCCCTCAGTGTACGCTGGCCCCAAGCAGGGCCGACCCCATGTCAAGTCCTCTTGCTGTCTGCTGACATCACCACAATCACCTTTACCACTGTTAGGACAAAAACTTGAGACAGGAACTTGCCCTCAAAGCGGGAAAGGAGCCATGAGACCAAGGAATGACTTAAACAAGTCCAGCTTGGCGAGTAGCTAAGTTTATTAGGACTTACACACAGGGCACTCAGCAAGACAGCTCGAGAGATCCAGCCTCCCCCAATGTCTAAACTGCTTTTCAGTTAATTTTCTGGCTCTTTGTCTACTATATATGAGCAACGAGACTTTTACTTGGTTGGTTCTCAGATACTCTCCAGGATGTTTGGATTCTCAGAGACACCTGGTCCTCAGCTGGGCACCATGGAAATGGCTCATTACCCGGCCTTCAGGGTTCAAGCAGGGGACATGCACCCTTAAATAACCTAAAGGGGACCTGTCACACTACAACCACCACCACCATCATCAAGAAGCCACTGGCTGACTCAGATACACCCCCGGGAGGACAAGGGAGAGTGGATGCTGGTAAGACAGGGTGAGAGACCATCACCAGGGAAGGATTCCATTCTTGGAAGGACATCCAACCGGGGGGCGGGTCTTTAGTGGAGCCGCTGTTTCTTCTCCTGTATCCAACAGTTCTAACTGTGGCTTTCTCCATTTTCAGCTCTTTCTTTTCCTGGTCTTCTCATTGCTTGTTCCTACGTGCCTCCCTCTCTTCCTCCCCCAATATACTCTTTAGTCTAGAGTAAACTGCTTCTTTCCATTCCCCACACTCTCCAGTCCCCTCTCCTCCCTTATTCCAGGCCCCAGCATTTCTGCCTTCTCCTTGGCGCACTTGCCATCTTGAGTAACCCCTCCCCTGCTGTGCTCAGCTACAGATGCCAAAGTTCCTAACACTGAGTTCCATAAACTTTACCTCGCCCTCTTTATTCCCCTAAAAAATGTCTGCGTTTTGTCCCGGCCTGTGTCTGGCTCACCTTCCCTGGTGGCTGCACTGCTCTGGGGTCATTGGGTATCGGGGAACCTGCCCCGATGGTCACGTAGGTTCTTTTCTATTTTCCCTAAGTGTTGGCCGGTTTGAGAAATAAAGGCACAGAGTACAAAAGAGAGAAATTTTAAAGCTAGGTGTCCAGGGGAGACATCACACATCGGTAGGTTCCGTGATGCCTCACAAGCCGCAAAACCAGCAAGTTTTTATTAGGGACTTTCAAAAGGGGAGGGAGTGTATGAATAGGGTGTGGGTGTGGGTCACAAAGATCACCTACTTCACAAGGTAATAGAATATCACAAGGCAAGTGGAGGCAGGGCGAGATCACAGGAACACAGGACCGGGGAGAAATTAAAATTGCTAATGAGGTTTCGGGCACCATTGTCATTGATAACATCTTATCAGGAGACAGGGTTTTGAGAGCAACCGGTCTGACCAAAATTTATTAGGCGGGAATTTCCTCTTCCTAATAAGCCTGGGAGCGCTATGGGAGACTGGGGTTTATTTCATCCCTACAGTCTCGACCATAGAAGATGGCCACACCCAAGGAGGCCATTTATAGACCCACCCTCAGGGGTGCATTCTCTTTCTCAGGGATGTTCCTTGCTGAGAAAAAGAATTCAGCGATATTTCTCCCATTTGCTTTTGAAAGAAGAGAAATATGACTCTGTTCCACCAGGCTCACTGTTGGTCAGAGTTTAAGGTTATCTCTCTTATTCCCTGAACAATTGCTGTTATCCTGTTCTTTTTTCAAGGTGCCCAGATTTCATATTGTTCAAACACACATGCTCTACAATTTGTGCAGTTAACGCAATTATCACATGGTCCTGAGGTGACATACATCCTCCTCAGCTGACAGGATTAGGAGATTAAAGTAAAGACAGGCATAAGAAATCACAAGGGTATTGATTGGGGAAGTGATCAGTGTCCATGAAATCTTCACAATTTGTGTTTAGAGATTGCGGTAAAGACAGGCATAGGAAATTATAAAAGTATTAATTTGGGGAACTAATAAATGTCCATGAAATCTTCACAATCCACGTTCTTCTGCCATGGCTTCAGCCAGTCCCTCCGTTTGGGGTCCCTGACTTCCCGCAACAATTGGGCCTAGCCTGCTTTTAGACTCTGATGGATATGGGTGAGCTCATTGAGATTCTCCTCCAGCTCCTGAGCCCACTGCCTCAGCGACTCAGCAGACTCGGATTTTGCCCCCTTGTGCAAGTCCAGTGAGTCTTGCACAAGGTTGACTACATCCAGCACAACAAGGACACCTGAAGTGGCCTTGCCCAGGTTCCGGGCTACTTTTCTCACTATCCGGGTGGGGGCCCCACGTGTTCTCAGTGTCTCAACAACATTTATAGGTACATATCGCCAAGCAATCAAAGGGCGTCCAACAGTGGCTTTAGATCTCCTGAGTGTATGGACATCATTCGCAATCATTTTTGTGGCTTCGTCAAAATCAAGTGCAAAAGAAAGCACATTGGGTGTGATGTCACGCAGAATGTCCCTTAATGCCTCCAATTGGTCAGTGCTGGTTGCAGTCAGCCTGCTGGCTGTGAGTTCTGCTGACCTTGTGTATGTGTTCTCCACGATGCTGGAGGCGATCCCAGCCGTGGCAGATGCTATTCCCAGCCCTACCCCAGCTGCAGTAATGCTCAGGCTCAGCCCTGCTGTAAATGGTGCCAACATAACGCCAATGACAGACAGGATGCCAGTGGAGCCAGACACCACATTGGCGATGACGCAGCCTCTGTGGACCTTTTCAATCTCATTTGCAATGACACGAAGCCTTTCTATGGACTCCTGAATCTTCCATCTGATTTGAGGAAACTCTTTCAAAAACCACTCCCTAAACTGCTGTTCTTTTTGCTGCATGTCTTTGTCCTCAATAGCCACATATGGTGTAAGATTCTTCAGAGCTTCATAGAGAGCATCTGCCTCTTCCCTGTACCAATAAAGGACAGATGATTAAGAAAGGCAGCTTACTTACCTGTAAAATGAGCTCAATAAGATCTATTCTGCATAAATCACAGAGCTGTTTCTATAAGTCAAATGGAAGTAAAGTTCTAAAAGATAAATAATTCTTTTCAAGGCCGGGCGCGGTGGCTCATGCTTGTAATCCCAGCACTTTGGGAGGCCGAGATGGGTGGATCACAAGGTCAGGAGATCGAGACCATCCTAGCTAACACGGTGAAACCCCGTCTCTACTAAA
Source organism: Homo sapiens (assembly GCF_000001405.40). NCBI lineage: Eukaryota > Metazoa > Chordata > Mammalia > Primates > Hominidae > Homo > Homo sapiens. The sequence goes on from NC_000022.11 coordinate 36,192,180, forward strand.
AATACAAAAAATTAGCCAGGCGTGGTGGTGAGTGCCTGTAGTCCCAGCTACTTGGGAGGCTGAGGCAGGAGAATGGCATGAATCCAGGAGGTGGAGCTTGCAGTGAGCCGAGATCGCGCCACTGCACTCCAGCCTGGGCGACAGAGCGAGACTCCATCTCAAAAAAAAATAATAATAATAATTCTACTCAAGGTTAAATATGTTTTGTACAACATAGATATGCCACAGTACTTATTCAGTATGGGAAAAAATAAGTTAAAGTCATCTTCCGATGCTCTTTAGTGGCTATGTGTTTGATAAAGATGGCTCCTCATGCAAGGGAGGTCAATGCCATCACTACCAGGGTGTGTGGAGAGGGGAAACTTTGTAGAAAAACAAAGAGAAGTGGGTTCAGAGCAAAAAGACCTTCATTCAGAGGATCATAGAACAGTGATGAATTAACTTTATTAGAAGAGAGCATATCCCTTTGTCCTCGGCCCCTGGAAAGGGATCTCTGGGGCCCTGGAATGTCCTGCCTGGTAGGAACGTCTTTGTTTCCCTGGTGGTTTGGCTACAGGCCAGTATAGCAATGTGATGGGTGATGGGCGTTTAGGGCTATTAGGTGTCTCATCTGCCTTCCAGAGGAACTGAGGACTAAAGGGGTTAGACCTTGGGGAAGGGCTGGAGACTCCATGTCTGCCATGACGGCAGCTTGTGATCCAGCCCCAGGAAGAGCTCTGCATTGTCATGAGTTAAGAAAGACTTACTCCTTGGCCAAACTTCAGTTGGGCGGTTCTGAGCCTCTTCTCCTCTAGACATTGACCTTGGCCTTCCATGCCCATCCCGTGCTTGCTGGGCCTGCACCGCCCCAGCTCAGCAAGAATCCCCCAAAGTCAATTTAGAGAGGATCCCCCCAGCTTGCTGTCTGAGCACACTTGCTCTCTGATCACGGTCTTCACCCATTCATTTGATAAGCGACTGTCTGACCTGCCTTTAGGGAGCATCCTGTTAGGCCAGTTTAGCAGGAACCCCCCACTCTGGTGTCTCCTGTCAGTCCTGTTCCATCTGCCGCCCCTTACCCTGGTGTTGGCTGTGACTCCCCCTCTGACTTTACTGTATTGGGAGCTGGGCTCAGTCTCCCTCCCCTGTAACAACAATCCTGAATAAAGGCTTCCTTCCTGATTTAATGTGATTCATAGGAATTTTTCCTTAACTGGGTGAGCTTCCCTGGTTGGCAACACCCCATGTGTTTTGTTCCACATTGACACAGGAGAACACAGCCTCCTGAGGACAATGAAGCTTCACAACTGAAACCCTCTCAGACTCTGCCCTGTATGTCTCTTCCTTAATCTGTGTTCTTTCCCTGTGATAAACCACAATCGTGCAATAACAGTTATCAGTGAGTTACGTGAGTCCTTGTAGTGAATTATCCAACCTGAGGGGGGCTTAAGAAAGCCCCTCAAGTTTGCAACTGGTGTCAGAAGTAAGGGTGCACTCGAACGTTGCAGTTCACCTAAATCTGAGTCCTTAAGAATTCAAACACAACCTCAGACTAGAAGGTGTCAATTTGCCTGGCATGTTCTCTCTTCCAATGCCTCATGCCCTTTGACGTTCTGACTAAAGGCCACTGGGTCCAGCCACTGCCACCTATGACTGAAAAGTGGAAGACCTGGCTATTAGTCCTGGCTGCACACAAACTCTCAAGCCACCTTACTGCCTCCTGACCTGGCACCTCCAAACTTCAGGGTCTCACTCTCACATGTCACCAGCCAAACTAATGCCTTAGCAGGTGACAGCTTCATGTGTATACAGGTCAAGGCCCTGTACAATTTCATGGAAGCTCTTGAGGACTCATGAGGACTTTGAAAATCATCTCTATAAATCACTAATGCTGAAAAGACCTGCATTTGGACAAGATGGTAGAGAAAGTGTTTTTCTCTTTGGTTGGGGACTTGTGAGTCTTCCGAGAACCCTTCAAATTACACCAGTTGAAGCCACTCGTCCCCACTCTGGAAGTTGGCCTGAAGAAACATTGCCTCTACTCTATGTAGAACAGAAGAAGGTTTCAAATGGCAGCCCAGAACTCCCCATTTCCCAGGCATGGTGTCGGGGAAACAGTCACCCATGGCCCACTATGCCCATCAGTGATGGGATCAAATCAGGGAGGGAAGAAATATCCCTCTCCTACTCACGGGTCTTCTGCAAGTCCATGACCATGTTACATTTCATGCTCTCAGTGTCTCCCTTCTCTCACCCTCCTCCCAGCCTTGATGCTCCAGCCTTCCTGCTGCTCCTCCAATCTAGGTCCACCCCTGCCCCATCCTGACCCCTGGCTCTGCCCCTGGCAATGTCTCTCTGGGTCTTTGGGCGGCATCATGCTATTTGGTTCCCCACCTTTGACCTGGAGTTCATTCTAAGGCCTTCACCACACTCCCATCTGATTGAATTACTAATAGCATTGGACAGACGGCAGGTCCCAGTCTCCAAGACATAAACCAACAGCCCCAGAGCTGTGCAGGGACAGAGCCAGGATCCACCCCAGCTCTGTCCAACTCCATTCCAGCCTCTCTGTGTCCTGGGTCAGCAGAAGGATTCTGCTGTGTTTGTGCAGTTCCTCAGAAGTTCAGGAAAAGGGCCCCAGACAGCATCTCCGGGAACACACATTGATCAGGTCAAGATTTTTCTGACTTTTCCCAAAGAAAGTCCTGCTGGGCTTCCATCTCTAAGAAAAAGACTTTTGGCCCTGGTCTCTTGCCAGCAAGTTTTGTAAAAGGTAACGCTAACTGAGCACCTACTGTGTGTCAGTCATTATGCTAAATACTTTACATGCATTATCTTATTTTTCTCACAATAAAGCTCAATGGATGAAGAAAGGAAAGCAGAAAGTAGTCAAGTAGCTTGCAAAGCTCCCATCACCAGTAGATGGCAGAACTGACCCTGCCCTTGTGGGCTTCTTCTCCCCTCAGCCTGAGGTCACTCACTGCCAGCGAAGCACTTGGAGGAAATATTCTTCCTGCACTGCTGAGAGGGACATCCTCAAGCCCAGCAGAGGGGGCTGCCTGGAGGAGGTGTGCCTGCCAGAGAAAACTAGCCCGGGGAGATCTGGGTGGCATCACCGGGGTGCCCCAAGGAGGTAACCCCATGGAGGTTACCTGGGCAATTCAGCCACACGCACAAATCTCTTCCAGGCTTCATCGCTAGTCAGCAGGATTTTCAGATGCACTGGGCTAACTTTCTTCTGGAAGTATTCAATGACTTCTTCAGTGAAGCGTTTCTTTTCTAGTTGGAAACAAAAAGGATAAGATTGGAAGAAAGTTTGCTACCACATAAATGGCATTGAGTATAAGGTGGTTCGGTGTTAATCCTCCTGAACCAGCTGTCACATGGGGTATTTTTGATGGAGGCACCAGTGCTATAGACTGAATTGTGTGCCCCCCAAATTCAAATACTGAGGCTCTAAACCCCAGTGACCGTATTTGGAGATTGAGCCTTTAAGGAAGTCATTAATTTAAAGGGAGTCATAAGAGTAGGGACCTACTCCTATAGGACTGGTGTCCAATTAAAAGAAAAAAAAGAGACAGATGATCTCTCTCTCTCTCTCTCTCTCTCTCTCTCTCTCACACACACACACACACACACACACACACACACACACACACCACTGTGAAGGCCATGTGAGGACACAGCCCTGAGGCAGCCTCTGTAAGCCAGGAGCAGAGCCCTCCCCAGACATCAACCCTGCTGGCACCTTCACCTTGGACTTCTTGCCTCTAGAACTGTGAGAAAATACGTCAGTTGTTGAAGCCACCCAGCTTGTGGCATTTTACTAAGGCATCCTGAGAAGAGTGATTCACCAGGGAAGTGCCACGATGCTTTGTGGAGGAACCAATCTATTTCAGCTGAGAATCACCAGAAAGTGAGCTTTCCACCATGTTTTCTCCCCATGTACGGGAAATATTCCAGTGATCGCTTCCTCCTGCCATGTGCCTATTGTCAAACACTTTACACCAGTGTCTTCAAAATCTGAATTTTGACCCATCAGTGGGTTATGACAATAGTTCATTGTGTCAAGAGCAGCATTTTAAAAAGAAAAGAGCATTGAAAATATCAGAGTATATTGAACATAGCAAGAGTGAGTATTCTTTTGTAAGATACTTGAAATATACCTATAGACCCTTATGTAAATTCCTGGGATCTAGATGTGTTTAGGATGGCAGCATTTTCAATCTTCTAGAAGGGACAGAGGGTGCATATGGTTTATCACTGACCACTCCCAGCAGGGACTGGGCCCCACCTTGTAATCAAAGGTACAAATGTTTCAACCAGGAAACCAATGAATATTCACCTTAAGTGGCATACATAATATTATCACTACAAAGCATCTTAGTACACAGCAGGATTACTGCCCAGATGAGTTGCCCCAAAAATGTGTGGTTTGCAGGGATTTGGGAATTATGGAACTCCAGAGAAGGGGCTGGGAACCAGTTTGTATTTATGTATGCACTGGGACATGATGTATAATTGTTTCCTGCTGTGCTCATACGTGCGAGGCCTCATTCTCATTTCACAGAAGGAGAAATTGAGACCCAGACAGCGAGAGACACCACCCAACCCAGCAAGCAGGAAGCTCAGGATTTGACTCAAGGCCAGCGTTCCCTTGCCATTACTTTGAAGACTCCATATATTTAAAAAATGCCTGTGGTTTCTGCATTCTCCCCTGTAGTATACCTGTGGGGTTTTAAACATTTTATTTGCACAGAGGATTCCTCCTGCTGGTCATGGGCTCTCTCAGATGGGCAGTGGAGGGGGTTCTTTAGGTGGGCAGGGGAGTGGGACCCTCAGCACTGATCCTTGTGGCCCCTCCGTGTTGCCTCTGTCCCCTGCAGGCTGGTCTCAGGGTACACGGCTCCCCACTGGCACCTCTGAACCCAGCTGGCCCCGTTAGTAAACCACAGATCATCTTGTTTCAGAGGGAGAGCTTCTTCCTTGGCCGCCCAGCCCAGCCCTTCCTAAGGATTCTGGGATTGGCTGAGAGCTCTCAGCTTCTAATCTTCCCTGCCCTCCCCTCATCTTGGACAGGACTCAGCACAGCCCAGTTTGCTGTCCAGGGCGGCCCCTGAGCAGAGCTGACTTGGTTGCCATGGCAACTCTGTAAGGGGAGGAAGCCCTCCTGAGGAAATGGGGCTTAGGGAAATGAACGCAGTGCTGACTTGGCTGGGCGAGGGATTGTCTTGTTTTTTCTTTTTCCTTCTTCACCAAAAGGAGGAAGGAAACTCAGGGTTGGATGGAGGGAACCTCCAGCACTAAATTTGTGTTTTATTGATGGGGTGGGGATGGTGAATATTAAAGCAAAATTAAAATAAAAACCAGACCTGAAACATTCCCGGGCAAACAAAACCAACCAGACCTTCAGAACAGCTGTAACCCCCCATGAAACTGCAAGCTATGAATCTGAACTGGGGTCATATCAGATGGGCGCTTCTGTCAGACACAAACACAGCTTAACCTCGGCCAGTCATGAGCAGCCAGCTGACAGAGGGCCATGCTGAGATGTGGATACTGGGAGGTCACAGAAAGAACAAGAACTCCAGGCAGCAGGTTCACATAATGGACACAGAAGGAGCTGCTGTAACCAGCTGTAGGGACAGGGGGAGGGGATGGGCCCAGAGGACCCTGACAAACAGGAAGTGGCCAATCTGGCTAAGACCAGTAAGATCTAACTCAGCACTGGGTCTGACCCACCTTTCACCCCAGACTCAATCATACCCTCCTTGTCCCACACCCACCTGTGCCACAGAAGTTCCATGCTTGCAACAAAACTGCGTGGCCCCCCAGTTCCAAGAAATCCCCGCCTCTTCCCATAAATCCTTATGCTTACTCTGCCCCTTAACTTAGTAAACCCACAAAGTCAGAAACCCCAAACCCCACTGGGCCCGACTGGCTCTTCTGAGTCCGCCTGCACTCCCACCCCTGAGCCTGCGCTTCTGCTTTGCAATAAAAGCTAATTTGCTTTGGCTTTGCCTCAAATTCTTTCTCTCTTCGTTGTCAGAATCCTGGACAAGGCTAAGGTCCGGTCTCACCTGCATTCAGAGACCTCCCTAAACCCACCGGCATCAACATGACCAGGAATTTTCCAACAAGGTAAAGCAAAACAGGCAGTTTTATCACTGGAACTAATCAAATAATGTCCTAATTGCACTTCCATATTCACCCGATAAACACTTGTCTTCCACAGTTTTTCATCATAACACAAAACCTCCTCCAGTTTGGTTTTCTCTATTTATGAACTCCTTCTTATTCAGATAAATGTTGTTGTGCCTCAGATGTTTCTTTGACAAGGGGTACTTTCGATGATTGGACTCAGCCCAGATAAAGAGGTGCTTGTGACAGGCAGTGCAGGGTGGGTGCCCTAACACAGCTCGGGAAGGGGGTGGCTTCCACTTACAATCAACAGGGGTCAGGTAGAGGGGATGGGAACCACCCCTTAGGGAGGCCGTACTGTGTGGCAGGCACTGGCTGGCCCAGGTACCCATGTAATGTTTGATCCTCATGACAACATGGGCAAATATCCTAGTGGTGCAGGTGAGGAGGAGTAAGGAGCTCCAGGTCACACAGAGGGGACATGGCCAAGACCAGAATGGGGTCCAGTTCAGTGGGAAGCTGGGTCACTCTACCCACAGGGCCACTCAGAGCAGAGGGGCTGGTGCAGGGCAAGAGCTGGAGGGAGGGGACCGGCCTCTGCTGGAAACACCCCAGGGTCAGCCAGGAGCAGAGAGGGAGGTGAGAGGTCAGGGCTGCTGGTCAACCTCCTCTCCCACCCCTCCGCTACTCCTGGCCAACCCTCAAAAGCCAACCCTGCTGTTTCCATTTCCCCAAGGCTGTCCTGCCCCACTTAAGTCATTTGCTAGGTGTCAGGGTAGGGAGGAAGTGGGCACCTGGGCCATGACCCGCTGAGGAGAGGTCAGGATGCAGATGCCCCCCAGAACCCTGGGTCAGGGGACTCCACGTGGCCTCTCTTGGGGCTTGGGGCAGCCTCATCAGCCACCTCCGTCTGGGTTCCGTTGGGGCTCACTCAGCCTTGAAGACACCACCCTCCATTCTAGCTGTGGGTAGGAACCAGCCAGGGAAGAGGAGGCGAGCCTACCAGCAGCCAGGTCTCTGAAAGGCTTACCTTGGAACTGTCCAGCCACTGTCCAGCCTGGATGGTTTTGCTGCACCCTTGAGGAAGAGAAAACAAATTGTGGGATTGAATGTGAGCCACCTATGGGCAAAGGGAGGCTTGAACAGCTGGGCCTCTGCAGATCCCTCTGAGGTGGCAGCAAATGCCAAGACCAACCTAACCCAGATTCTTTCTCTATCACCAAGTCCCCATCATCTGCTATTTACAGACACTCAACTCATTCCAGCTCCCTCTTCCCTCACTCTCACACCAAGGAAAAGTCCGCTTGTCCTGTTGGAGAATGAGGAGAAGATAATCAGAGGAGGGGCAGCCATCTGATCATTACAGAAACTACACAGTCTATACGCAGAAATAGAGATGGGAAGGAACGTTCTAACAATGACCGGAAACATGTGTGACAACTAATTGATGATAGCCAGTCTGTATTGAGTGTCTGTGATGTGCAGGGCTTCTTTTTTTATTTTTATTTTTATTTATTTATATTTTTTGAGACGGAGTCTCGCTCTGTCGTCCAGGTGGAGTGCAGTGGCGCGATCTCGGCTCACTGCAAGCGCCGCCTCCCAGGTTCACGCCATTCTCTTGCCTCAGCCTCTCGAGTAGCTGGGACTACAGGTGCCCGTCGCCACATTCGGCTAATTTTTTGTATTTTCAGTAGAGAAGGGGTTTCACCGTGTTAGCCAGGATGGTCTCGATCTCCTGACCTCATGATCAGCCCGTCTCGGCCTCCCAAAGTGCTGGGATTACAGGCGTGAGCGGTCGCGCCGGGCCTGTGATGTGCAGGGCTTCTGACATGTGTCTCATTCAATGATCACACACAGCCCGGGAGATGGGTACCACTTTCCCATTTGAACACAGAGGAATCCACAAAAGTTAGGGAACTTGCCAGTGTTTTCTATTGCTAGAGCCAGGACTTCTGCTTCAACCTCATGTCTTCAATGACTGTGCTCTACTCCCTTAAATATACAATATTGAGTCATGTATACACGCTCATGGTAAATGACTCCTCATTGCAAATCCATGTCTCACACTCCGTGCTCAACTTTTCGTCTTGGTGAATTCACTGGTGCTGCAGTGGACAGCCTGTGTCCCCCTTGCTTCTCTAAGATCCTTTGTCCCACAAAGACCTGGATCCTGCCAGATGCCGGCCTAGCCCCTGCTGTGGCTGCCGAGCCCTCCTGGCGCTGCCCTGTTCCCTCTGCTGTCCTCCCCTAGCTGATGGACCTTAGGGTGTTTCTAATTCTTCATGTAAATTATGCTACAAAGAACACCCTCCTTCACGTAAAACTGCCCACATTTGATTTTATTTCCTTAAGATATTTGTAGGAGTAGAATGACTAGGTCAGAGGGTATCAACATCTCAAAATGTTTTATACCTAGAGCCACACTACATGCAAATTGTACCAATTCACACTCAAACTAGCAGTATATGAAGATGCCCATTCTTTCAGTCTTACTGGCTCTCAGTAGTCTCTTTATCAGGACAAAAAATATATACACAACATGTAAATTTGAGAACTAAATATCTTGTTATCAATACCAATTAGTACAAACTTTAAGGCACGAAGGTAGCAGTTGAGATGTGAAGCACTGAACAAAGGAGAAGGAGGATTAATATTGTCATTTTTTAAAGATGGAAGTTAAGAAATACTGGGTACAACTGAGGGTATAAGAAAGTTGTAAGTAAATTGTTTACAGCTACAAAGTTGCTAATGGAAGACATAAAACTGGTGATAGAATGTTAGGAAAAGGTGGAGAGGAGAGATAGAGGGAGGGTACAAATAAGATGAAAATGACTAATAATGATACTATAAATAATAACAATACCATTTCAGGCCCATCCCAGTTAGGGGCGGCTCCAAGCATTACCATTGTTCTTTTCTCACCGTGTGTCTCTGCGCACTCCCTGGCACACCCACTTCCAGCAGCTGGTCTTTGTTTGCAGACTTTATTTTAACAGCTCAGTGGTTCCCGGGCCCCCTGATGGGGTTCCATCCTCCAGCTCTCATACTAAAGCCCCCTCCTCAAAAGCCACTCGCCTCCCTCTTTCCCTTTCCTGCCTTTGTCTCAGGGTTCAGACACACAGATGTCTGTCTTCTGGGGCCCCCATGCAACAAGGGTAAAAGGGGGACCCAGTCCTGGGCAGCATTCACCAGGGGAGTATGCAGAGGGGCGTCTGGGCGCTTCTTGCTGTAAGGGACAGGGGTGACAGGAGAGGGGCATCCCTTCGCCTTCTTCCTGCTTTGTTCACTGTGTGACCCCCTAGGCCAAGGCAACCATCTCAACACCATGAGCCAGTAGAACTGGGAGGACCAGGAGAGAGCAGAGGAGCAGGAGGGCAGAGAGCTGGGGCCTCGGACTCACCCGACGCTTGTGATGAGCTGCACCCAGGATCCCATCCTCCTTGGTCATTGTTGGCCTGGCTCAGACGCTGATCTGGGGCCTCTGCTGAATGTTGAGGCTGGATACTGACTGTTAGCCTCAACTAGGACACAGTGCGTCCCCTCTAGGCGAGTCTACCAGTTGGTCAATTCCGGGAAGTGATTTTGGTTCCTAGAAAAACCCACATGGCTCCTGGCCCAGCCCAAGCCCTGCCCAATTGTGCAGCCCAGACAGGGAGCCCTCCCTCCCACCTCAGGGCTCTGAGCCAAGCTCACCAGATGCAGACGACAAAGATTTTCAGCAAAGCAGCTCCCTCCATGTCGCTGCGGGGCCTCCTCCTTGGGCAGGAAAAGAGGGGTTGAGACAGTGTGCTCCTCCTGAGAAATCACCATTTTCATTTCATTTTTAATAAACCGTTTTGCTGTGTCACCCAGGCTGCAGGGCTTTGACGCCATCCTAGCTCATTGCTGCCTAGATCTGCTGGGCTCAAGTGATCTTCCTCCTTCAACCTTCTGAGTAGCTGGGACTACAGGTGCACGCTACCATGCTGGGCTAATTTGTTAATTTTTGATTTCATAGAGACAGCATCTCCTGTGTTTCTCAGGCTGTCTTGAACTCCTGGCCTCAAGTGATCTTCCCGCCTCTGCCTCCCACAGCACTGGGATTACAGGCTTCAGCTATAGTGCTTTCTATCTTGATGGGCATCTCTTTTTGGTGAAGAAAAATCAGGCCGGGAGCGGTGGCTCACGCCTGTAATCCCAGCACTTTGGGAGGCCGAGGCAGGCAGATCACAAGGTCAGGAGATGGAGACCATCCTGGCTAACATGGTGAAACCCCATCTCTACTAAAAATACAAAAATTAGCCGAGTGTAGTGGCGGGCGCCTGTAGTCCCAGCTACTCGGGAGGCTGAGGCAGGAGAATGGTGTGAACCCGGGAGGCGGAGCTTGCAGTGAGCAGAGATTGCGCCACTGCACTCCAGCCTGGGCAACAGAGCGAGACTCCATCTCAGAAAAAAGAAAAAAAAAAAAAGAAAAAGAAAAATAAGACCACGACTCAGATTTCACAGAAATTACCCCCCTGATTTCATGGACTTTTGGCAGCTCTATCAGGTTTCTGAGAGGGGAAAATCTTAGGCTGGGAGGGGAGGTGACTTGCCCAGAGTCGCACAGCTCTTGGAGAGCAGACGGGAAGCCAACATCTGCCCTTGTGACTCTGCTATTGAAGAAAAACGGGTGATTTTAGTAATCCAACAGTGTCCAGGTTTGATTCTGCTTCTACAAACACAGAGATCTAAGCTCTCACTCCTGTAGTTACACTCACAATTCCACAGGTGGCTTTTGAATCTCATGATTACAAAGCTGGCGTCATGCCACAGGCACCATTCTGCAATGCGACCTTCTCACTCCCCTGTCTCAGCCATGTTTCCTATTGCGGGATCTGGCCAGCAGCCCCCAGTGCAACGGGGCTCTCTCTTTGCTCCTAGGCGGATCGGCAGGTTGAGAAATAATAGACACACACAAGATAGTGAAAGCTGGGTCCAGGGGGGTCACCGCCTTCTGGTCAACAATGCACTGGATATACCAGCATTTATTATTCAGTTTAGTGAGGGCGGGGGTAGGTTAGTGAGGGATTTAGGGTCATTTGATTACGAGGTGGGATGGTCACATGGGGATGAAGTAATTCTTTAACATAACATTCGTATGTAGAAGTACAGTGCATTTGTATGTAGAAGTACAGTATACAGAGATAAGAATTTACAATATAGTGTGTGCGTCAGTAATTTCTAACAGAGCCTTAAAACAGAAACACAATCTTTCCATAACCTATGATTAGCAAGATATTAATCAGCAGTAACAATTGCAACAAAAGCTGGTTACTGACAATCCATGGAAACAGGACGTGAAGCTAGATAACCGGTTAGACTAGAAATTCTCAGAAGGGAGTATACCTGAACCCTAAAGATGCCTAGAAGAGCCACGGCAAGATGATAGCATTTATAGCCCTAGCTTGTCCATATGGACAGGCGCCCCCCTGCATCCATTCATAGGCTCTCTGCAGGGGGAAGCACATCACGTGCTGTTGGTTCGTTCTGGCAGTCCAACCTGGCATTGTCTTTACACAATCCTGCATGCAATTTTGTATTTACAATAATCAGGAGCATTTCATCTTTTATTCCGTAGCAATAGTTTCAGGGGGTCTCCCTACAGTTTCCCATTAGGGACACAGCACAGCCTGTTTCTTCTCCATCACCCCAGAGGTCTGAACAGAGGGACAGAGGTGAGGGCCACAGACATGGAGTCCTATGATCTACCTGCTCAGCCTCCTGACACTGGACCCTGGGCAAGTCACTCCCCTCCCAGGGCCTCAGTTTCCCCACAGGGCCTGGCACAAGTAGGTGCTCAGACTCAGGGTGGGTGAGATGACCTCTAGGTTCCTTGTATCTCAAAAGAAATCTCTTGCCTCATCAGGCCTCAGCAGCCGCACCCCGGGGCCAGCCTGGTTGTGGCCAGACCATAAGGACAGACCGGGCTCCAGGTCACCTCCCCACCTCCACCTTCTTTGATTCCTTCAAATTTCCCAAAGAGATGGGCACCCCCAACACAAACCTTCCTTCTGGGGTCACCTGGCCATGTCTCAGCAGTCTAAAACAGAGCTGAGCCCAGAGAGCTTTGTGAACCCATCTGAGCTATTTCCCCACCTCTCTCTACGGTTTAAGGGCCCAGCAGGAGGGAGGGAGCAATCAGACTCAAGCCTGGGTGCAAATCCCGGCTCTACCACTGCTTTCCTGTCTGATCTGAACGAGTTACCTAACCTCTCCGAGCTTATCTACAAAAGCTGAATGATCCTTCCCTCATAGAGCTATTGCGAGAATAAGGAGATGGAGGGAGGTCACACCATCCCCAACTTACCAAGGGATCTTCCTCTGACAGAGACTGAGCAAGATCCAGCTGGTCTGAGCTGTGTGGATCTCACCTCCAGCTGTGCACCTATATAATAACCAGACACGTCCTCCAGCCCCCAAGATATACCCAGGAATTCGAAAGGTAAAATGAAAGTCACAACTTCCCAGCAGCTCACAATCAAGCACAGCAAACACGCTGCTCCCCAGCACCTCCTGCAGTCCAGCCCCACCCTCCTTGCTGCTGCGCTTAGAGGAGCAGCCTGAGACCAGACCTCCAGGTCTCTTTCATCCAACCCACCTGCCTGGCATCCTCGGGGTTGGGGGTCTGCTATAGTCTTCAGGAAGAAAGACCTGCCACTGACATACTGTGGGACCCTTCAGATTACTCCCCGTCCTCCCGTGCTTCCACATTCCCCTGATGCCTGCCTTACTCCTGCCCATACCATCAGCATTTGCACAGTCTCCTACACATGCCAAGTGGATCCTTATTGTATATTTATTGTAAGGCCATTGGGGTTATTTTGGTTTTGTTCTGGAGACAGGGTCTCACTCTGTAGCCAAGGCTGAAGTGCACCGCCACAGTCATAGTGCACTGCAGTTTCAAACCCCTGGGCTCAAGCCATCCTCCCACCTGAGCCTCCTGAGTAGCTGTTTCTACAGGCATCAGCCAACCACCCAGCTAATTTTTAAAAAAGTTATATTAGAGATGGTGTCTCACTATATTGACTGGGCTACTCTTGAACTCCAGGCCTCAAGTGATCCTCCCACCTTGGCATGAGCCACCGCACCAGGCCTGCTCTTGTTGAAGGCCATGGCTTGTGGCTTCTAGATATTTGCTTATGTGGGGTCTTCTGCCGGGATCCCCTGCTTCCACCACCTGGAAAAATCATGCTCATCGTTCAGTGACAAAATCAGGCATTGCCTCCTGTCAGAGATCCCCCAGCATCCTCCCAAGCAGAGGCCACTGCCCCGTGTTCCACTCCCGAGGCACACAGGGTGGAGGGACTAGAGACCACTGCTCAGCCACACTTCTATGGCTAAGAAGTCATGCAACCAGATTGCTATTGGACTTTTGTGCTTTGCCCCAGGCAGAAGGGCCTCAAAGACAGCTGAACCTCAGAAGCCAACCTGACCCTTCCATGGGGGCCTATTTCATCCTGAGCAAACATCGCTGGGGGCATCGTGGCCACCTCCCCCCACCCATACGCACACACACCAGCTTTTGAGACAGGAACAGAAAGGTGATTACACAGGGACTGCACAATACACTTTGCAATACATTCCATTTGCAAATGCTTCTCCATTTGATTGAATTTTATAATCATCCCCTCAATGGGCCAGGATTATGATCTAAGTTTTCAAATGAGGAAACTGAGGCAAGGGGCGAGGAAGTTGCTTTCATCCAGCAACTCAGGGAGGAGCCAAGACTTGTCAACCAAAGAGGGTCTGGGACACGTCTCAGTCAGTTTAGAGGTTTACTCTGCCAAGGTTGAGGATGCACCCAGGAAAAAGACACGCAAGTCACAGGAAGATCTGGGGCCCACTCATTATTCCCAGAGGGTTTTGAGGGCTTCAACATTTAAATGTGTAAAATCAGGCAGGCGTGGAAGGAGGGAAGGAAAAAAGACAGGATAGGTAATGAGCTGAGTGGTCACATTTTTGTGAGGCTTTGATCGGCCCTCCCTGAATCCATAGGTTCCATGTGAAAGGGGGTTAGAGGAACAGTCCATTATTCATTCTTCTTGTGCACAGTTAATCTACATTTTCTATAAGATAAAAATAAACAGAAAGTAGAGGAAGTAGGCATATGTGCATTTGTCTGAGTGTGGGCAGAAGGGTCACTTCCACTCTTGTCATTGTTAGGTACCAGTCAAGATAAGTTGCCAGTTTGCATTGTCACAGTGAAATTATACAAAGTCTGTCTCAGGGTGAAAATTTGGGGACCTACAAGGATTTTCTTTGTGAGGAATTTGTGAGGCAGGCCAACTGGGGTATATGTTGCCTTCCATCTTTGCAAATATCTGTTTAGAAACAAAAACAAAGGCAGGTTCTGGAGTGACTCTGTTTCCAGGCTTAACTGGTTCCACTGGTATAGTGAATTTGGGGCCCTGAGATTTGATTTTCCTTTCACATTTTCTCTTTGTTTTTCAATATCTTTTGGAGAAAACAGTGTAGAAGCAAAAGAATCTCCAGTCACGGGGTTGGTCTGAATTCTGTAACACAAAGTATTCCACCTTCCGTTTGCTTGCAGGGGTTTAGAAAAAGGACAGTTTTGATTTCTGGTGATGCCAAGTCAGAAAAATGAGAGAAAAACAAAAGGAATATGTTAGTTTGGAGACTTGTAGCCAGGAAAGAATTCAATATCTAGTGCGGATAAATTGTAGACAAATAATAAAGCTGGAAAACAATGGACAAAGCTAGAATCTCATAACAGACGTTTTATAGTTTCTTTTAAAACACATTTTCTCTCTCTAGTACTCTATTTCTACCAAAGACAAATCATAGTAGGACGCATTTATTTGCAAAATAAGTTTTAGTCTTCTAATACTTGGCCTGATTATTTGCATAAAGTGCAGAAGAATAATCTTGTGGCATAAGGAGTCTTTTTTAAAATTTGACTTTGCTAGGCCATTTTCGTATTCATAAGCTATCTCAGAGTAGGCCCTTTAAAACCTTGAGCTCAGCCACGAATTTATGTTTGCCTGCAGATACCTGTATGAATTGGGTGAGTTCCTTTCTTCTCGAGGCCCCATGATCACTTGGGCTTCCTGGGCCTGTCAGAAAGTGATATTCTTTATTTACCACAGTTCAGGAACCCTGTAAAGGAACTCTATAGGCAAAGGACTTAATAAAGGACTGAAATTAATTTCAGTCCTTTAGTAATTCAGTCCCATGTAATTACCTTCTTCCATTTGATATTGGCTTAGCAACCTTCCTGAACACATCAGCTTTTTTTTTTTTTTTCCAGTTTTGCTGTCAGGGCCCAGGGGAGGGAGAATAAGGAGTTATGGCTTGCTGGATACAAAGTTTCCATTTTGCAAGAAGAAAAGTTCTGTGGATGATAGCGGTTGCACAACAATGTGAATGTAATTCCACTGAACTGTACACCTAAAAATGGTTAAAATGATCAACTTTAGGTTAGGAATATTTTACCACAATTTAATTTTTGTTTGTTTGTTTGTTTGCTTGTTTGTTTTGAGATGGAGTCTTGCTCTGTCACCCAGGCTGGAGTGCAGTGGCGCAATCTCGGCTCACTGCAACCTCCACCTCCCAGGTTCAAGCAATTCTCCTGCCTCATCTTCCCCAGCAGCTGGGACTACAGGTGCATGCCACCACGCTCAGCTAATTTTTTGTATTTTCAGTAGAGACAGGGTTTCACCATGTTAGCCAGGATGGTTTCAATCTCCTGATGTTGTGATCCACCTGCCTTGGCCTCCCAAAGTGCTGAGATGACAGGAGTGAGCCACTGCACCAGGCCCAATTAAAAAAGTTTTTAAAATCCTTGAAAACCCACCTTTGCAGAAAAAAAAATAATAGCACCTGAGCCTTTTCTGGTTTGCTAAACATTTTTACACACATAATCATACAAGTTTCAACAACAGCCCTGTGATGAAAACATTTTCTTCCTAGCCTCGTTTCCCAGAAGAGAAAACAAAGGTTCAAATGGGGTGAAATGAGTTACTCAGAAAGAGGCAGAGCTGGGCTTGTAGCTGGACCTTTCTGGTTCTTGTTTTGTTTCATTTTCTGGACCATCCTGTTTCCCCTAAAGGAAATGATTTCCTGAAATTTCTCAAGTATTCTGAAAATCTAATTTTCTTCCTCACTTTCTCCCTGTTGGCTCAAGATGAATCACAAAACTCCAAATACCATCAGAATGTGTTGCCCAAGTCCCACCTGTTCTATGGCTGATGGCCACAGGGAGCTGGGTATGGCTGGGCTGGTTATGACCAACTGTAACCCCATCAAGGATTAACATGCTCCTGAAACAGACCCCATGTCCAGAAATTTGCAAAACCTACCCTGAAATGTTGACATCATAGAGTGTGCCCCAATGTCCTGTCCAGATTTCTGTCCCTCCCATGAGCTGGAGAGGATATTTGGCATCAGACAGCTGGAAATCACTTTCCCCAGTTTTTGGCTTCATGACTCAGTTTTCTTGCTTGTAGAATAAAGCTAATCATAGAATTTACCTCTCAGAATTCCTAAGAGAATAAATTCAGGCAGGGTGGGGAATATGCATGGCATATAGTAGATGCTCATTAAACAAGAATCAATATTTCTGAGCACTCACTCTGTATACAGGGCAGTGAGCAATCATGATGTCTGCATTATCTCCATTTGTAACTGAAGAAAAGTTCAGCTGCTCACTGCTTGCAAAGGCAAATGAACAAGGATGAGAAGCAGTGAAAGGAAAGTGACTTCATTCCAAAAGCCCATATCTGGGGATGAGGTCAGGCTAGTGCCTTAGAGAAACCATTTCAGATTTTGAACTGAGGGCAGGTGTTTCAAAAGGGAAACTTGATATGAAAGGCATGCAAGAGTGGTGAAGAAGTGCCAGTCTACATGACTTGTCCAATGACCATCTTGAGTTATTGCCCCATCGGGTGTATGGACTGGGGACATCTCCAGGATAGCCAGGTTGAAAATTCAATGTAGCCTTGAGGCAATTCTGTAGCTTCCTGGATGGTTTCAAGATTTCTTCTACTGGGGGAACACACTCCCAACATTTCAATGGAGGTTCTTTCTATTTTCCATAAATGTTGGCCAGCTGAGAAATAAAGAGAGACAGTACAAAGAGAGGAATTTTACAGCTGGGCTGCTGGGGGTGACATCACATATCAGCAGGACTGTGATGCCCACCTGAATCTCAGATCAGCAAGTTTTTATTCAGGGTTTTAAAAAGGGGAGGGTGTGTAAGAACAGGGAGTAGGTACAAAGATCACATGCTTCAAAGGGCAAAAAGCAGAACTACTAATAAGGGTCTAACAAAGATCACATGCTTCTGAGGGAACAGGACAAAGGGCAAAAGCAGAAATACTGATATGTTCAGCGGTGCACATATTGTCTTGATAAACATCTTAAACAACAGAAAACAGGGTTTGAGGGTAGAGAACCGGTCTGACCACAAATTTACCAGGGTGGACTTTTTCCCCACCCTAATAAGCCTGAGGGTACTGCAGGAGACCAGGGCATATCTCAGTCCTTATCTCAACCGCATAAGACAGACATCCCCAGAGCGGCCGTTTATAGACCTCCCCCCAGAAATGCATTCCTTTCCCAGGGTATTAATATTAATATTCCTTGCTGGGAAAAGAATTTGGCAATATCTTCCCTACTTGCCCATCTGTTTATAGGCTCTCTGCAAGAAGAAAAGTATAGCTCTTTTTGCCCGACCCTGCAGGCAGTCAGACCTTATGGTTGTCTTCCCTTGTTCCCTAAAATCGCTGTTATTCTGTTCTTTTTCAAGGTGGACTGATTTCATATTGTTCAACCACACATGTTTTACAATCAATTTGTACAGTTCACATAATTATCACTGTGGTCCTGAGGTGACGTACATCCTCAGCTTAGGAAGATAACAGGATTAAGAGATTAAAGTAAAGACAGGCATAAGAAATTATAAAAGTATTATTTGGGAACTGATAAATGTCCATGAAATCTTCACAATTTATGTTCCTCTGCTGCGGCTCCAGCCGGTCCCTCCATTCGGGCTCCCTGACTTCCTGCAACATCTTCCCTGGAATTTCTAAGCAATCTAACATGATTAAATAAAATACAGTGCATGGGAGGGGAGTTCCTAGTAGAAAAGGAGAACAAAGATTCACACATTACTAAAAGCAAAACAAGAAATGGACAAAGAGAGGAGACCAGAAACAAACAAACAAAAAATAAAATGGGATACTTGGTTACATTTTCATCTTCTCCATGCACTCTCTAGTACTCTTGATGTTTCTCCTATCCCCATGTACAGACCAGAAACAGACTCAGAAAATAAAATCATTTCCCCAAGGCCACACAACTGGCCTTGGCTTCCTTTTTTGTTAGAGACAGGATCTCACTCTGTTGCCCAGGCTGGGGTGCAGCAGCAGATCAAACGTCTGGGCTCAAGTGATCCCCCCACTGCAGGAACCCAAGCAGCTGAAACTACAGGCATGTGCCACCATGTCTGGCTAATTTTTTAACTTTCTTGGTAGAGATGAGGTCTCATGATGTTGCCCAGGCTGGTCTTAAACTCCTAGCCTCAAGTAACCCTTCTGCTTCAGCCTCCCAATGTACTGGAGTTGTAATCGAGTAACCCAGCATTGAAATGTACTTTAACATTATTTTTCTTTCTGTCTTAATCTCAGAATGTAGCTTTAAAATGTACTTCAAAATTCCTTTCCCCTCCCTTTCTCACCAAGCTCTCTTGTGCACAGTGCTCACTTATCTAATGATGTGGGTGCATAGAAATTCAAGGAGTGAATTTTGAAAAAAAAACAGGCAGAGAAACCCAGGTGCAAAATTCTCCGGCTTAGGGGGAGTTACCAACAATTAATCCACCACCAACAGGGTAAAGTCCAAATGATGCCAATTGGACCTCCTGACGGGCTACTTCTCAAGACAGCCATTGGAACAAGACACAGACCTGCACCCTCCTGCACCACTCCCACACACCTCCAATTCCAATTTTCCCTTTCTAAACCCCTCTCTCCAGCCTAAAGTAGAAATGATCTTTTAAGAGCATGAGCCTGATCATTCCCCCACTGTGAGCACTTGAATGAAGCTGCTTTCCCTTCACCGCAACTCACTTCCTGTGTTTTTGGCCACTGAGTGGTGAGCAGCTGGACTTGAGCCAGTTATAGCATTACAGGAGGGAGCCAATGCACCCAGCATGGCTTCCCTTTTTCACCTACTGATCCTCACGATTCAGTGCTTAAATTATAGAAATTTTTTCATTTCTAAGACAAATAATGATAGACTCACAAGACAAAACAGCACAGCTGGAAAAATAGTTGCAAAACTAGCACAGAGAGGCCCTGCAGACTCTTTGCCCAGTTTCCCCCAACGGTCCTCCAGTTCATCTGATGTAGGAGCTGGACTGGGCTGGTCTGGAAACTCAGTCTCAGCTGCCTGAAGTGGTCACTTATCCATGCGCTCCCTTAGAGGGGATGACAAGGTCCTAGGAGAAGTCAACATCAAAGCCACCTCCAAGCTGTGGTCAGCCCAAAGGAGATGGTCACAAAGGCAGAATTCAGAAGGAGGAAGAGACTTAGAGCCAAGGGTGGAGATGGAACCTAGGGGTGGGCCTTGAGTTACTTAGGTCACCGATGCCAAGCTGCCATAACAAAGAGCTCCCAATTACCGATATATTCAATCAATGATATAGGAGATTGCTGAACTGAGACATTCACACCAACGTTGCTAGGCAGTTTCAGTGGCAGGTGGTTTTGCTCCCGAAGGTCGACCAGGGGTTGCCACTCAGAGGGAGTTGTTGTTTTCCACGTGGAAGCTGGCGCTTACCCATACATCCCAGCCCAAAGAACAGAAGAGGACACAAAACACAGGAATCTTCCCCTTAAGAGAAACACCTACAAGTTGCAGACATCACTGCTCTCACCTTCCATTGGCCACAATTTAGGAAGAAGACCCCATGGAGTTGCCAGGGATACTGGGCAGTCCTGTGCCTGTGGAAACTCAGCAGCCTGATGATCAAAGACGAAAAAAAAGAGAGGAAATAAAAACGGGTAAAATGCTCAATTTTATAACTTTTAAATTTTCATCTTTTGCCACCTGGAGAACCTGAAATGGAAACGAAAAGTCACAACTTCTCAGCAGCTCGTGATCACGCAAACCCACTAAACACACTGCTCCCCGGCACCACCTTCAGCCCGGTCCCACCCTCCTTGCTGCTGCACTTACAGGAGCAACCCCAGACCCAGTGTTCCAGAACCTTCTCTGTCAACCCACCTGCCTCACATCCTCAGGGTGGGGGTCTGTTATGGTCTTCGGGAAGAAACAGGCTGTGGGACCCCCCAGATTCCTCCCCCTCTGCCTGTGCCCCCTACACTCCCAGCATGCCTGCCTTACTCTCCCCCATGCTATCGACATTAGCACAATCTCTCAGACATACCAGGTGCTTACTGCATGCTGAACTCTATGACTGTTTTTCAACACCATGCCCCTGTGGCTTCTGGACTTTTGCTTATGTGGGTTCTTCTGTCTGGAGCAATGGCTTCCACCAACTGAAAAATCATGTTCTTCCTTCAGAGCTCAATTATGGCATTGCCTCCTCTGAGAAGCCTTCCAGCATCCACAGAGTCCACTGCCCCATGCCCCACTCCCATGACACCTTGAAGGGAGGGACCTAAGTCCACTGCTGGGCCACAGTCCCACAGCTAAGAAGTCATGCAGCTGGATTGCTGTCAGACAGTTCTGCTTTGTCCCAGGCAGAAGGGCTGGAGTGGGGCTGGACCACAGAGGTCAACCTGGCCCTTCCAGGGGGTCCTAGTTCATCCAGGGCAAACATCCATGGGACATCCTGGCCACCACCCAATACACACACACCAGCTTTTGAGGGAGGAACAGAAGGCAATCACACAGGAACTGCACACTGTAGATTGCAATGCATTTATACTTCCCCTTTTGATTGCAGTTTTGTAATCATCCCTCAATGAACCAGGATCATGATCTGAGTTTGCAGGTGAGGAAACTGAGGCAAAGGGCAGGGCAGTGGCTTTCATCCATCAACTCAGAGAGGAGCCAAGACTTGTAAACCAAAAAGCGTTTGAGACAGTTCTCAATTGGTTTAGAGGTTTATTCGGCCAAGGTTGAGAACACACCTGGGAGAAACGGACGCAAGTCACTGTAGGATGTGGGGCCCACGCTTTTTCCAAAGAGGGTGTTGAGTCTCTCAGTATTTAAAGGGGAAAAATTGGGCAGGAGGGGACAGAGGAAAGAAAGCAAGAGAGAGGGAAGGTAGTGAGATAAGCAGTCCCACATTCTTCCGAGGTTGTCGCTGGGCAGGTTGAGGTTCTTGACTTTGCTGCACAAAAGGATTTGAGAGTACTTTTGAGAGTATGGCATGGGAAAGTGCCCAAGAGTAGGCAGAGAAGTTTACTGCAAAGTGAAATATGCTCTGAGAGGCAGAGCAGGCTGCTAAATGTGAAAAACAGCCCCTAGTGCCTTAAGTGGAATTCCCTTTATGGGAGCTGGGCATGCATATTCATAAGGTACTGGTGAGGTCAAGTGTGCAAAGGTGGACCTGGGATTGGCGCATGTGATCAGCGTCTCTCTGCTCTAACAAGCATTGCACATATCATTACCATATATACAATCTCCACCTAGGGATGTGTTTTTTACTATTAAAGTGGGGAAAACATCAGTAGAATCTAAACCATGAGCCTCGTTACGCAGGCAGGGCCAGGGAGAAGTCCCTAGCTCCCCCAAAGTAGGAATAGGTAGCTAATAGCTTCTTGGGCTTTTGGTGCTGATTGGCTGGTGACAGGGAAATCCACAACTTGAATAAGGGGCTTTCCTTCTCTCTCTCAGGCAGTGTAGGTATCAGGAACTTGGAACCATCTGGCAGTCGGCTGGCATGCTGTAGGACCACGTATTTTGCAGAAAAAAGTTAGGGGCTGATGCAGGAGGGTGCAAGGGATGTGAAAGGAACCTGTGGGGATTCACGCAAGGGGACAAGTCAGTGTGGCCTCCTGGCCTTACTTATTCTTCCTCAAGGCTATAATTAGCACTTCCTCAATGCACCTATGGCATGGGAAAGTTTGGGACAGAGGATCAGTCCATTTTGCATTTCTCAACGGACAGCTCTTAGGTCACCTGAGATCGAATATTTGTTTTAAAAGTACAGAGCTAAGCTAGCAGGCCTAAGTATTGTACTATCATTTGCTCTAACCACGGGGAAGAATGGCCTTAGTCAAGACGATCAGGAAAAGTAGTTTGAACAGCGTTATGACTTATGTATTTAAAGCAAAATGGTAAGAGTTTCCTAATGTTCACAGGCAGATACCCTTACAGAACAAGGTTCCCTTGAAGATGTACATTTATCTTAGGAAAGAGTTTTAAGAAGGCCAGCTAACTACTAGGAAGCTATGTTTTGGCTTTCTAACTTATCTTAATTAAATTCCTGGCTTTAGAGTGGAGCCCTTTAAGGAACAGGGTCAGTAAAGCATGCTTCTGTGTGTGTGTGTGTGTGTGTGTGTGTGTGTGTGTGTGTGTGTGTGTTTAGTTCTTCAGCGATGTTTATTTAAAAATCTAAAACTGCAAAAAAATAAAATAAAATAAAAAACAAACAACAGCCAGCACCCTCTGGGGATAATTATTCACTGTAAGCAACTGCCATGATCCATTTTTAACAATGCATTTCTTCCCGAAGTATTACACTTACCAAGGGTATTTTCTTGCGATGCAAAGTGATTTCTGATATACACCCAAAAGCCAAAAGATCAGGTAACACAACAGAAAAGAGAGAAGAGGTTTTAGACCTGACTGAATCTGTCCGCTGACCACTGCTGGGATCCCATGAGGAAACACAGGATCCCCTCATGAAAGGAAAACAAAATCTCAGGAACCTAAACTCACGATGGAAAAGTGACACTTGGAAACTGAGTCACACAACACACTGCCTTTCCTTTCCATCCTAAACCGATAGACAGGTGCTAGGCAGAAGGCCATGTGTCTCCCAGGGTGGCCGCCCTCACCCTGACACTGTAAAATCACAGTTCATCTTCACAAGTACGTGACACAAGACGACACTGGAAACCATCCCGCCACCCACCCCGACACAAATGCATATGTCAGTGCTTCCTGTGCTCTATGTTGACTTTATCTCCTGTCGATGCGGATGGACTGGGTATGAGACGAATGCAGAACTGACTGTTCCTCTGCCTGCTCCTTTCACAAGCAGCAGGTGGATTTAGGGAGCACTAATCAAACCCTCACAAGACAGTGAACACTCACCCACTACGTGCCCTCCCTCTCTTTTTATTCTTTCCTCTTTCTCCTCCTGCCCACTGTTCTCCCTTTAAATATTGAAGCTCTCAAAACCCTCTTAGGAAAAAGTGCAAGCCCCAGAACCTACAGCACCTCGTGTCTCTTCTACCCAGGCTCATCCTCAATCGTGGCTAAATAAACCTCTAAATTGCTGGAGACCTCCCTCAGACACATTTTGGGTTTACAATTGGGCAACTGCAAAGAGGTTCTGAGTGGAAGTTGCCCTTGATATGGGCAAATCTCCTGTAGGTGCCTGGTATTGTCTTGGACTATCTTAATCTCTCAAACAAATAGGATGATTTGCTGGCATCTGGGAGCTTTTCCTTCCAGAGATCCCTGATATCTCATGTATACACCTTCAATAAATTTGCTAGCCATTTTTGCCATGAATTAATCAACCTCAGGCCAATGCTTTTTTCATAGTGATCAGAGCTGTTCTTGTCTCCCAGAAGTCATAGTGATGAGAACCCAGGCACCTGATCTGCCAGCTAAAGGGTAGGAATTTTCTACCAGCCAGGCTCCTGGCCTCTCTCTGTGTACTACAGGTGAACAGATGGTAAAAATCACTGTTGGCCTCATCTGCAAGGTTTTGATTAATGGGGGTGCGAGCGGGGGAAGGTTTGTGTGTGACTCATCTTGGTCTAGCAACTCTGGTGAACATTTGGTACTTTATGGTCTATTGGAATAAAGGACACCAGGGAAAATTCTAATCATTAATGGCCATAAAACAGATAAAAATGATTTTCTAAACAACTGATGAAAAACTCAACATTGAAAAAGGACACATAGTATCACAGCTAGCTTTGAGAAATCTATTCCAAAAAATCTCACATAAAAATTAAAATCCCTGCAGGACGCAGTGGCTCATGCCTGTAATCCCAGCACTTTGGGAGGCCAAGGTGGGCAGATCATTTGAAGTCAGGAGTTCAAAAACTGGCCTGGCCAACATGGTGAAACCCCGTATCTACTAAAAATATAAAAATTAGCTGGATGTGGTGGCCTGTGCCTGTAATCCCAGCTACTTACGAGGCTGAACCAGGAGAACTGCTTGAGCCTGGGAGGCAGTGATTGCGGTAAGCATAAATCCCGCCATTGCACTCCAGCCTAGGTGACAGAGAGAGACTCCATCTCAAAGAAAATAAAAAAAATAAAAAACTAAAAAACCACACATTAAAATCTATTGCAGGTTTTACCGCCTGTTCTGGATTCTGGTTTGATATTTGTGTGATTTTGCCTTTCACTGATCCTTCTCCCCTCCATGGATAGCTATTGATTTCTGTCTTCTTTCTGTGGGGGACATAGAGGGAATTTTTATCTTTGTGTATAGGAGATCAGCTATTCTGTATCTTAAAAACAAACAAAAAAACACCTCCCTGCCACCTCCTGGAAGATCCCTCGGGCGCCCATGGTTAAGTCACAACCTTACTTCAGGCTTATTGGTTTCACTAGGAAGGTTGCCTTTGGTAGAATTCAAACACCAGAAATATCACCTGTATGTCCTGGCTAACATCTGGTAGTAAGAGGTGTGAAAGGATTTTTTCAGAGCTCTAAAGTCACAAGTCAACTTCACTGAAACTGATATTAAGGCTGTGTATGTATATATGTATCTATCTATCTATTTATTGAGAGAGAGAGAGTAGTTATGGCCATTATTCTCTCTCTATGTCTCAGTCACCTCAATTCTGTCTGTTTCTCTGTTTACTTCTGTCTTTCCCTCCTTCCTCTTGCCACCCTCCATGCAATCAAGAGAGGACCTACAGTAGTTTCTAACAGCTGAGATCCTTTGGGAAAAACAGAAAAAAGCACCAGAGTCCCTGCTGGGGAGGAACCTCTGTTTTCCTCATGCGACCTCAAGAGTTGGAAGTGGACAGATTCCTGGCAAATTCAAAACTGTTCTCTTCTATCCTAAGGCATATCTCTGTTTAAAGTTCTTTTCCTGGACCTCTTAACTAAAATTTGCTTATATCGTTTTGTAATCAGGCAGCTTAACTTCAAACTGCATTTTAAACTGGGTTTTCCTTCTTCTTTGGTTTCCAGATTTAACCTTGAAGCAAACTGCAGAAGCCTTTTTTCTTAGACTTAAAATAGAGTCCATGCCCCTCCCTTTCTCACCATATATACCCCCTATATTTATCTAAGTTTGTGCTAGTGTCTAATCATGTGCTTTCTCAGAAGTTCCATAGGTTAATCTTGAGACACACAGGCCAAGCCTGGAGACCCAGCTACAAATTTCCAGAGAGTACTCAAGGCAGCTAGTTAGCAATCCAGCCATCGTTGAGATGACGCCAGCCCAAGATCCAGGTGGACTGGGACCCAGGAGAGCCACAGGGACAGGACATACACACATACACAATTCTAGCATGCTGTCCTTATCAAGCTTTCCTTTTTAAGCCCCGGCCTTTACCCAAAAACATCAAACTGGTTTCTTTCTTTCTTTTTTTTTTTTTCCAGTGAAAAGTTTCATTTTTTCCTTCAGCTGTTATTTTAAGTTCCGGGTACATGTGCGGGATGTAAGGTAAATGTGTGCCATGGTCCTTTGCTGCACAGATCAACCCATCACCGAGGTATTAAGCCTAGCATCCATTAGCTATTCTTCCTGATCCTCTCCCTCCCCCTGCGCCAACAGGCCCCAGTATGTGTTGTTCCCCTTGATGTGTCCCTGCGTTTTCATCATTCAACTCCCACTTATAAATGAGAACATATGGTATTTGATTTTCTGTTCCTGCATTAGTTTGCTGAGAATGACAGCTTCCAGCTCCGTTTATGTGCCTACAAAAGACATGGTCTCATTCCATTTTATGGCTGCAGAGTATTCCACAGGGTATATGTACCACATTTTCTTTATCCAGTCTATCATTGATGAGTATTTGGGTTGATTCCATGTCTTTGCTATTGTGAATAGTGCTGTAGTGAACATACATATGCATGTATCTTTACAACAGAGTGATTTATATTTCTTTGGGTATATACCCAGCAGAGGAATTGCTGGGTCAAAGGGGTTTCTTGGACAAATTGCCACCCTGTCTTCCACAATGGTTGAACTAATTTACACTCCCACCAACAAAGTAAAAGTGTTTCTTTTTCTCCACAACCTCGCCAGCATCGGTTGTTTCTTGACTTTTTAATGATTGCCATTCTGACTGGCATGAAATAGTATCTCATTGTGGTTTTGATTTGCATTTCTCTAATGGTCAGTGATGTTGAGCTTTTTTTCATGTTTGTTGGCCGTATGAATGTCTTATTTTGAGAACTGTCTGTTCATGTCCTTTGCCCATTTTATAATGGAGTTGTTTGGTTTTTTTTTCTTGCTAATTTGCTTATGTTCCTTGTAGACTCTGAATATTAGACCTTTGTCATATGGAGAGATTGCAAAAGTGATTGCTTTCCAAGGGAATCCAGCCACTTCCCCTTTACTCGTTTTGGTTAATAAAAACACTTTCTTTCTAGCAGACCTCGCTCTTGTTAATTGGATGATCCAGGTGGGGAGCATCCAGACCTGCGTTCGCTTCCAGTTGTTTTTCTTCCCTTGGTTTAAGCAAAATGATACAATATTTAGGCCAAATGTTTTAGTTCTACTTTGAGATGTAAAATCTCTATCTGATGTCACCTAAGATTTGTTCCTTTAGAGTGCGAACTTTGGGCCATCTGGCTGACAATTGCTGAGGCAATAAAACAGGTTATCAAGAAATTGGTGGGCTGGGCGTGGTGGCTCACACCTGTAATCCCAGCACTTTGGGAGGCAGAGGTGGGCAGATCACAAGGTCAGGAGATCGAGACCACCCTGGCTAACACGGTGAAATGCCGTCTCTACTAAAAATACAAAAAATTAGCCGGGCGTAGTGACAGGTGCCTGTAGTCCCAGCTACTCAGAGGGTGAGGCAGGAGAATGGTGTGAACCCAGGAGGCGGAGCCTGCAGTGAGCCAAGATGGCACCACTGCACTCCAGCCTGGGCGACAGAGTGAGACTCTGTCTCAAAAAAAAAGAAAGAAGGAAAGAAAGAAAGAGATAAAGAAAGAAAGAGAGAGAGAGAGAGAAAGAAAGAGAGAGAGAGAGAGAAAGAAAGAAAGAAAGAAAGAAAGAAAGAAAGAAAGAAAGAAAGAAAGAAAGAAAGAAAAAAAAAGAAAGAAAGAAATTAGTAATCTAAAGTGGGGGAGAAAAATTTGGAAAAGTGACAAATAAAAAATCTTACAAATCTACAGGATCTGGGTCTGTACGCATCTCTGTGTGTCTATGTATTTATATGTGTTATAGGTATATAATATTTCCCCATCAAAATATATAGAAGGGTCTAATTAATTGGCTTGCCAAAAAAAGCACTTAAATCCAATATTTTATCAGAAAAATAGAAACTTTCATTTGAATAGCATTCACTTCATGTGACTTTAATAATCTTTGCTAGAGACAGTTTAAAAATTATTGGTAAAATAGAAATGTCTTCAAAACTTAATTTAGATATCTGGGCTGAATTAGTCAAGCAGGTCAGATACTATTGTCTGCTAGATGTATTAGGATAAAAAAGTTTGCTTCTGTAATACTTTTAAAGCTTGCTTATCTCATCTGTAAACCTATGTGTCTTGAGAATCAAGCCTTTGGACTAACCCCAGGCATTGCCCTTCATCCTGGGATACGCATCTGGTGCATAATTAAAACTGTTTACCTCCTAGATTCTTCAATAAAAATAAGAGTTACCAAGAGTTCACATTACAATTAATGTATGTAATTAAAACATTACATCTATTGCTGCCTAGACCACCTTCTGGCTATACACAAAGTGTATTGTGATGGTTAATATGAGGTGTGAACATCACTAGACGGAGGAATGCCTAGATGGCTGGTAAAGGATTGTTTCTGGGCGTGTCTGTGAGGGTGTTGTCAAAGGAGATTGACATTTGGGTCCGTGAACTAAGAGAAGAAGACACACCCTGAATGTGGGCAGTACCATCCCATCAGCTGCCAGTGAGGCCAGAACAAAGCAAGCAGAAGAGAAAAGGGTGAGCAGCTTGCTCATCACTCTCTCTGTCTTCCCGTGCTGGATGCTTCCTTCCTCTCCTCCTGCCCTTGGACATCAGACTTCCTGGTCTTTGGCCTTTGGACTCTGGGACTTGCACCAGCGGCCTCCTGGAGGATTACAGGGCTTCATCCTAAGACCGAGACCTACGCAGTCGGCTTCTCTGGTTTTGAGGCTTTTAGACTTGGACTGAGTCACACTACGGGCTTCTGTCTTTCCCCAGCTTGCCAAGAGCCTGTTGTGGGATTTCTGCTCGTAATCATGTGAGCCAGTTCTCCCTAATAAACTCACTTCTATGTGTATTTCTGTGTGTACATGTATTCTATTGACCATGTCACTCTGGAGAACTCTGACTAATGAATGTATTAAAGAGATAGGATGTGTTTTGATAAAAGGGTTGAAAGAGGGCATGGGACTGTGGTTCTTTTTAAGAAAACATCATTTTGTTTAGTTTAGAGGTTTTAAGGATCATTTCAAGTTAAAAGAAAGATATGGCAAAAAAGAAATTTTAAGCAAATTGTAGTAGGTTTGTGGAAGATTGATCTCATAAAAGAAACCATGTGTGATGAAGTTTGGCTAAAATTTAAAAGAAATCATTTAGTTTTTCTATAAATTGAACATGAACATAAATAGCACATGGATGCTGGGCCAGCCTCTGAACCTCTGTGTCAGAGTAATAGGGAATACTCGGTATATTGATCTGCTCTTTAACAGAAAAATCTTAAAAGCTATAAAAGATTTATGGAAATTTTACCTCATGATCAAACTAATTAAAATTTGATAGATTTGTTTATAGGATTGTATAAAATGAGCTTCAGCATTACTAATCCATTAATACAAAGGTAACATTTAGTTTTTCTCTTTTGAACAAGATTTTTGTGTAATATCAAAACATGATGGAAGAGTTTTGTTTGCCTGTTGAGCAAACTATAAAAGAGAAAGAAATGAGAGAGAGAAACAGATTCAGTTGGCCTCATGTTGTCTATATGATGTCTTATTCTTTGGGAAACTGAGTCTTCTGTCCATCACAGAGAAAAGGTTTCTGCTTTTTTGAAATCTTTAATTCTGTGTCCTTTCTCTCTGGATCATTCCAATACATACCTCTACTCTTCAGTTGGTCAGAGGATGTTTAAGTCTAATTTGTTTTTGTTCTTGCATTTGCTTTTGTCTTGGTTTTGCTTTGCTGTGTGCTGCTTGCATCCAAAGGATCTTGACTGATTTAAAAAAAAATGATACCAACCAGTTGGTTGCAGATAACAGACCCTCAGGATGGTTGGTATTTGTGGAATTAGCGTTCAGGCTGAGAGGGAGGGGGAACAACAGTGAAACTCCCCACGCCGACCAGCATAGCACCTGCTGCCACCTGGTGGAACGTGGCTGAGACAAGGAACGCTGGGACCTGAAGCAGGACCTACACTTCAAACAAACATCTGGCTTTGAAATGTTTCCTGAAGGCATCAAATAAATTGTGGCTGTCGATGTTGTTGGCTGACTCTCCTCCTATGAGAATAAAATTCAGAGACTGATTCTGTAGGTTTCTGGTTGCATGATAAATTTCATCCTAGCCAGATCTTCTAAGTGCAGCTGAGGGCCCTGATGGGGAGAGTGGTGTATTAGTTCCTCCCCTGCTGTAACAAAGCACCACTGACCTGGTGCCCACGCTCTCTTTTCTTCTGGCCATAACCTGCCTCTCCCAGAGTTGGCCTCTTAGAATTTCTCCTAAAGAGACCAGGGTCCCAGCCCCTCCCCAATTTCAGAGAGTTCCTGGTAATCCATTTTTTCTTTGTGTTCACTTAAACCAACACAAAGTTGCTCTCTTCCAGTTCTGGAGGTCAGAAGTCCTAAAATCAAGGTGTGGGCATGGCTGTGTTTCTTCTAGAGGCTCCTGGAGAAGCCATTCCATTGCCTTTTCCAGCTTTTAGAGACACCTGCTGGCCTTGGCTCCTGGCTCCTCCCTTCATCTTCAAAGCCAGCCTTGTAGTGTCCTCTGATCTCTCTCAGTCTCTCTCCCCTTCCATCATCACATCTCCTTTTCTCCCTGTCACCTTACTGCCTCTGCCTTATAAGGACCCTTGTGGATACCTTGGGCCCAACCCAGATAATTCCAGATAACCTCCCATCTCCAGATCCTTGGCTGGATCACACTTGCAAGGTGCCTTTTATGATGGAAGGTGACATAATCACGAGTTCCAGCATTCGGATGCGCACATCCGTGGGGGGCTGTTATTCAGCCTAATACAAGATATATCCAGAAAATTGCAATAGGGATGTCGGAGGGGGATTGAAGAATCCCAACTCCAAGCCACATCTAAGGACGCTTCCAAGGTGCAGCCCCTGATGGAGGAAGCTGCTCCATCTCTGTTGCCCCTGCCCCCCATGAGTTTCTAGACAGCCAGTGTTCAAGTCAGTGTGGCATGAGAGTGAACTGCAGAATGGAAAGGAGTGAGACGCTGCAGCAGGAGAAGGAGCCCACCATCAAACTCCAAAGAGCTGGAGACCATTTGTGCGGTGGAGTCCGAGAAAGGTCGGCAAGGAAGGGGAAACATCATTTGGGTTCCTTGCCATAGTTGTCCTCAGCTGGCATGGTTTGCTCCAGCAGCAGGCTGGGATGCCAGCTGTGCCCAGGGCTGGATGAGCCACCCTCAAGTAAATGCTGGCCACTTCGTTGTGACGCCAAAAATTCAGAAATGACTTGGTATGACAAAGAAGAAGGAGGACTCAACGTGCATAGGAGATTGGAAGGTTAGATTGGATTTCTCAGGTCCTTCCTGCCCACACTGCATCCTGTGAGGGCCCAGGAGATTTCTCTTTCCTTTGGTGAGAAGAATCAATGGATAACCAGGAACTCTCTGGAATGGGGGACGGGCTGGGACCTTGGTATCTTTAGGGTGGGAGAAATTCCAAGAGGCCAACTCCTGGGGAGGCAGGTCATGGCCAGAAGAAAAGAGAGTGTGGGCACCAGGTCAGGCAGCAGGGAGTGCACATGATCACGGCTCAGGGAAATTCCACAGGCACACGGTCCCAAAATAGAGCCGGCGGAGAGTCCACTGACTTTGCACAACCACCAACTTGGTGGGCAGACACCTGTCACAGGTCATCATGCTGGATGGCCCCTGCTTGTCACCCAATTCTCAGGCCTGACTCATAGGACAGACCCAGAGCCCTTGAAGGAAAGGGAGGTCAGGAGTCTGCGAAAGGCCCTGTCATTCCCCTTAAGTGCAGCCTGTAAGCGTTCCTCCTACCTGTTCTCCCTGGACCTGGAGCGTCCTCTCAGATCACAGGGGACGGCTTAAAGGAAACTCATCCCCAGGACTTCTGGATCCTGGCTACACTGACACCAACTCCTGGGACCCATAATAACTCAGAGTGCCACTGTGGCCTTCCGGTCAGAGGAGGAGATTACAGGGGGACAAGTAATCAGTGAATACCTGATTTCAGTTTAGCTTTCAGTGAGTCCATTAGGAACCTCCCCTCACCTGGTCATCATGTTTTCAGTTCCTGGGTGGATCACTGGAGTGCGTATTCTTGGAAGCTGCAGATTGTTAACCCAGACCTCCTGAACTAGGAAGAGGAGAATGGATGCTGTTCTCTCCCATGAAACAACTTTGTTCCATCCCTGGGCCCTAAATGCTGACATCTTTGATTGTAGAAAGCAGACATCTACCTCTAGTTTGCAAAAACTACATAGAGATGAATGACTAACAGCAGTGAAAAGACCATGAGGGCTGAATTCAGGTGCTTACAGTGAGTCATCACTGTAAGAACAGGCCTCTCTCAAATTCTGCTGCACTTTCCGCCCAATCCACCTGCTCCAGCCAGACCTGGACTGCTGTGGAACAACTCTCAAGGATGATTCCTGAAGAGCAATGGAGCACACCTCACAGTCCAGGCTGCCTGGAAGGGGCGGCGTCCTCGGGCCAGGATCTGCATTGTTTCTTAGGTAACAGCTGAAGATTTGGCTGGAAGTTCAGCCTGAGGCAAGCCCATGGGGATAAAGGCCATGGATAAAGGCCTCCCTCTCTCCTCCCTGGAGACAAAGATTCTGAGGACGCTTCTTGAAGGCACCTCGGAAGGTCTCATTGCCCATATGGATGACCCATTCAAAAACTTCTCCTTGTATCAACTTTTCCTCCTTCCCTCCTGGATCCTCAGTTCTGCTCCTAGAATCACTTCCCACACAAACCCTCTACACCAGAACGTTGCCCCTGGCTCTTCCTTCACAGGACCCCAGGCCACAACAGGCTACTTTAGGCAGCATCATGGCCTACATCTTTGTGCTAAGAGTAATGGGAAGCCATTAGAGGGTTGGAAGCAGGTGCTCAATCAAACCTATGTTCTTAGGTGGGCATGGTGGCTCATGCCTGCAATTGCAGTCCATTGGAAGGCCAGGGTGAACAGATCACCTGAGCTCAGGAGTTTGAGACCAGCCTGGGCAAGATAGGGAAACCCTGTCTCTACAAAAAAAAAAAAAAATACAAAAATTAACGAGGCATTGGGGTACACACGGATGGTCCCAATTGCTCAGGGAGTCAAGGTGGAAGGATAGTTTGAGGCCGGGAGGTCCAAGATGTGGTGAGCCATGATTGTGCCACGGTTTGCCAGCCTTGCAACAGAGTGAGAGTATCTGAAAAAAAAAAAGAAACTATATTGTTAAAGCCCAACCTGGCCCAGTGTGGAGCATGGTCCAGGACATGGGAGGGACAGGGGCAGGGGCACAGAGAAGACCATTCTGGAAGTTCTTGCAGGAGTCTGGGCAAAACGTGAGGACAGACTGGATGGGAGTGTTTGCTGTCTGGATGTCTCTCTTTGTCCCTCTATTTTTCGCTGATCCTCTCCCAATCTGCACACAGGCCCCTCTGACACTAGTTAGCCTCGAGTGTCCCGTGTCAATCCCGGGCTCTGACTCACAGATGGAAACCACACCTGTGCTCAGCCAGAGCCAGACATGTACAAGCTTTCCCCGAGTGCCCCAATGGGCTTGGGGTTTTGAGGTCTCAGGGAAATGACCAGCTGGGAAAGTGAGAGTCCAGTGAGCGAGCAGAAGGGGTCTTGAAACTTCGCTCCCTGAGACCCTGGAAGAAGGATCATGAGGAAGGTTAAGTCAGGCACCCAGAGCCCAGGGGAGCCTCCATCGGCACCACAAAGTCACAGCCATCAGTCAGTGCTGATTGACTCAAGTCTCCAGAACACAAGATGGGGAGAGCAAGGTGGACCTGAGATATCACCTTTTCCAGCCCCCTTCTACAGCTGATGAGGAAACTGAGGCTCAGAGGGGTGAAGTCTCATGACCACAAGCAGGGTTGAACTCCTGGACACACCTCAAGCTTCCTTGACCTGTTCCTGGCATCTCCTTTCATTTTTCCTTTCTTCCCAAATTAACCTCTTTCCAACACAGCACTTCAAGTTCCCCTGGAACTTCATCGGTCCATCGGTGTCCCCTGGTCTGGAAGAGCACCGACCACTTGCCAAGGCCCCCACCACTCTGCTGCCATCACAACCACCATCACCACCATTACGAGAAAAACTTGAGACTGATGGCCCCCAAAGCTTAGAAGGAGCTGAGAGACCAAAGAATGACTCGAACAAGTCCAGCTTGGTGAGTAGGTGAGTTTATTGGGACTTACACACAGGTCAATCCTGGGCAGCGACAGGACAGCTCTAGAGATCTGTGCTTCCTCCCAATGCTAAACTGCTTTCATGCTAATCTTCTGACTGTTTACTTACCGGCTAAGAGCGATGGGACTGTTTTCATTGGTTGGTTCTCAGATACTCTCTGGGAAGTTTGGGTTCTCAGGGACACCTGCTCCTCAGCTGGGGATTGTGGCCATGGCCTACCACCTGCCTCTCAGGGTTCAAGCAGGGGACATGCACCCTTTAGTAACCTGGAGGGGACCCGTCACATGACAACCACCCCAACCACCATCATGAAGAAGCCACTGGCTGACTGTGATACACCCCCAGAAGGACAAGGGAGAGTGGATGCTGGAAAGACAGAGCGAGAGACCATCACCAGGGAAAGACTTTATTCTTGGAAGGACATCAAACCTGGGGGGGGGTCGGTAGTGGAGCTGCTGTTTCTTCTCCTGTATCCAACAGTTCTAACTCTGGTTTTCTCCATTTTCAGCTCTTTCTTTTCCTGGCCTTCTCATTGCTGGTTCCTGCAAGCTCCCCCTCTATTCTTCGCCCAATATATTCTTTAGTCCAAAGTAAACTACTTCTTCCCATTCCCCACACTCTCCAGTCCTCTCTCCTCCCTTATTGCAGGCTCCAGTGTTCCTGCCTTCTCCTTGGTGCACTTGCCATCTGCATTAACCCCTCCCTTGCTGTGCTCAGCTACACAAATGCCAAAGTCACTAACACTCAGTTCCATAAGCTTTACCTTGCCCTCCTTATCCCCCTAATAAAATGTCTGCATTTTGGCCAGGCGCGGTGGCTCACGCCTGTAATCCCAGCACTTTGGGAGGCCGAGGTGGGCAGATCACGAGGTCAGGAGATGGAGACCATCGTGGCTAACACAGTGAAACCCCGTCTCCAGTGAAAATACAAAAAAATTAGCCGGGCGTGGTGGCAGGTGCCTGTAGTCCCAGCTACTCGGGAGACTGAGGCCGGAGAATGGTGTGAACCCGGGAGGCGGAGTTTGCAGTGAGCCGAGATTGAGCCACTGCACTCCATCCTGGGCGATAGAGCGAGACTCCATCTCAAAAAAAAAAAAAAAAAAAAAAAAAAGTCTGCATTTTGTCCTGGCCTGTGCCCGGCATTTCTGCCCTGGTGGCTGCACTGCTCTGGGGTCATTGGTCTTGGCCTGGCTGCAGCATCTCATGGATCTTGGTGAGAAAGTTGAGCTTCCCCTCCAGCTCCTGAGCCCGCTTCTTCAGCTCCTCAGCTGACTCTGACTTTGCCCCCTCAAGCAAGTGCTTTGACTCATATGCAAGGCTGACCACATCCAGCAGAAGCAAGATGCCTCCAGTGGCTGCACCCACGATCATGGTTCCTCTGCTCATTGCCTGGGCGGGGCCTTCAACAACCCTCTCAACCTGTTCACCGCCTTCAGCTGAGATTCGCCCAATGACATGCGGGGGTGGGGCATACGCTCCTAACTGAGGGTTGGCTCTGGCTCGTCTGATGGCACGGATGTTCCTCCCAATCCCTTGTGTGACTTGGTACCAATTGTCAACTAAGGTAAGAACATTGGGTGTGTTCCCACCCACAAACTCCTTCATCACCTTTGCTACATTGGTGCCGCTTTGGTCCAAGTTGCGGGCTTGGGCTCGTGCCCGCAATTTGTTTACTAGTTCTACCACACTGCAGGTAATCCCAGCCACAGCAGCTGCTGCTCCCAGACCCATGCCAGTGTCCAAGAGCACAAAACTGATTCCTTCTGTGAAGGGTGCCAGACCCAGGCCGAGGAGGGTCAGGATGCCAGAGGTAGTGCCAACAGAGTTGGACACCACATTGGCAATGGTGGTGCCTCTGTGGACCTGCTCAACCTCCTCTGCAAGGGCACGGAGCTTCCTTATGTGATCCTCAAGCTCCCTTTTCAACCGAGGAAACTCTTTCAAAAACCACTGCCTGTGCTGCTGGTCTTTATCGTGGCGGTTTTTGTCCTTCATGACCATGTGACTTGCAAGCTTGTTCAGAGCTTTACGGAGCTCATCTGCCTCATCCCTGCACAAGGAAAGGTTAAAGGATTAAGAAATGCAGTTTCCCTATCTGTGAAATGAGCTCCATGCGATCTCTATCCTGTGTAAATTGCAGAGCTTTCACTATCAATCAAATAGAAACAAATTTTACAAATGGAATTAATTATCTTTCAAACTCAAACACATTTTGTTCATCATAGATATTCCTCAGTACTTATTCCATATGGAAATAAATATCTTAAAGGCACCTCAGATGCTCTTTCATGGTAGGTGTTTGATAAAGATGCCTCCTCACTCAAGGGCAGGTCAACACCGTGACTGCCAAAGTGTTTGGAGAGGGAAAACTCTGCAGATGAACAAAGAGCAGTGAGAGTGAGACAAAGAGACCTTATTACCAGGATGGCAGGAAAGTGAAGCATGAACTTTACCCAAAGAGAGGCCTTCCCTTTGTCCTCAGCTCCTGGGAAGTGATCTCCAGGCCCCTGGAATGTCCTGCCTGGTAGGAACATCTTTCTTTGCCTGGTGATTTGGCCACGGGACAGTATAGCGATGTGATGGATGATAGGGTTTGGGGCTATTTGGTGTCTTTCCTGACTTCCAGAGGACTTGGGGACTAAAGGTGTGAGATCTCAGGGAAGGGCTGGAGACTCTAGCCATGAGGGCAGCTTGTGATCCAGCCCCAGCAGATACTCTGGACACTAAGGCATGGGTTGAGAAAGAAGGACTTTCTCCTTGACCAACTCCAGCTGGGCTCTTCAGAGCTTCTTCTCCACTAGGCGCCGACCTTGGCCTTCCACACTCACCCACTGCTTTCTGGACTTGCACCACCTTGGCTCAGCAAGAATCTCCCCAAATCAGTTTAGGGAGGGTCCTCCCCGCTTGCTGTCTGAGCACCGTTTGTTATCTGATCATGCTCCTCACCCCCACCACTGGTGGTTGAGGGTCTGACCTGCCTTTGGCGAGAATCCTGTTAGGCCAGTTTAGCAGGAACCCCCCACTCTGGCGTCTCCTGTCAGTCCTGTTCCATCTCCCGCCCCCACCCTGGTGTTGGCTGTGACTCCCCCTCTGTCTTTACTATATTTGGAGCTGGGCTCAGTCTCCCTCCCCTGTAACAACAATCCTGAATAAAGGCTTCATTTCTGGTTTAATGTGATTCACAGGAATTTTTCCTTAACTGGGTGAGCTTCCCTGGTTGGCAACACCGCATGTGTTTTGTCCCACATTCACACAGGAGAACACAGCCTCCTGAGGACAATGAAGATTCACACCTGAAATCCTCCCAGACTCTGCCCTGTGTGTCTCTTCCTTAGGCTGATTTTAATCTGTGTTCTTTCCCTGTGATAAACCACAATCGTGCAATAGCAGTTTTCAGTGAGTTACGTGAGTCCTTCTAGTGAATTATAAAATCTAAGGATGATTTTAGGAATCCCCATAGATTTGCAGGTGGTGTCAAAGGTAAGGGTGCCCTCAGACATTGCAGTCTGGCTATCTCTGAGTACTTTGAATTCAAACAAAAACAAAACCTCAGAAAGACAGGAGATCACTTTGCCTGGCATCTGCTCCCTTCCAATGCCTCATGCCCTTTCACCTGGCTGAAGGCTACTGGGTGCGGCCACTGCCCCAGCTGACTGGAGTGGGAGATCTGGCTATTCATTCTGGCTCCACATGGACGCTCCAGCCACCTTACTGCCTCCTGACCTACCACCTGCACCCCCAACCTTCCAGGTCTCACTCGCAGGTGTCACCAGCCTAACTGATGCCTTAGCAGTGACAGCTTCACCTGTGTGCACAGCAAGGCCATGTGCAATTTTATGGAACCACTAGAAGACTCAAGACACTTTCAGAACCATCTATATAAATTGCTAATGCTGAAAAGACCTGAATTTGGTCAAGATGGTAGAGGAAGTGTTTTCCTCCTCGGTTGGGACTTTGTGAGTCTGCTCAGTACCCCTGAAATTACACAAATTGGCAGCAACTCATTCTACTTTGGAAATGGTCACTAAGGCATGCCATGGTAAGGAGCTTCTCTGTGTAGAAGAGAAGAAGGTCTGAAAGGGTAGTCCAGAACTCACCAGTTCCAAGGCATGGGGTGAGAGACACAGGCTACCATGACCCTGTATGCCCATGAGTGTTGGGATCATCCAGACAGGGAAGAAATATCCCTCTCCCACTCACATGTCCTCTGCAAGTTCATGACCTCCTTAAGTTTCAAGCCCTTGGTGCCTCTCTTTCCACACCCTAGTCCCAGCCCTGGTGCCCCAGCCTTCCTGCTTGTCCTACCAAACCAAGGCTGACTCTTACTCCATCCTGACTCCAGGCTCTGACACTGGTCCCGGTCTCTCTGGGCCTTTGAGCAGGATCTTAGTCCTTGGTTCCCCACCTTTGACCTGGAGTTGCCTCTAAGGCCTTCACCACACTCCTATGACATTGAATTGCTATTCCTATTGGACAGAAGACAGTTCCAAGTCTCCATGACATAAGCCCAGAGCCCAGGAACTAGGCCTCTCAGGATCCTGGACCAGCAGAAGGGTCCTGCTGTGTTTGTGGAATTCTTCAGATGAGAAAAAAGGCCCCAGCCAGCATCCCCAGGAACACATATTGTTTAGGTTAGGATTTTTCTGACTTTTCCCAAAGGAAGTCCTGCTGGGCTCCCATCTTCAAGAAGAAGATCCTTAACCCTGGTCTCTTTCCACCAAGCTTGTAAGATGTTAACGTTAACTGTGCACCTACTATGTGTCAGTCATTATGCTAAGCACTTTACATGCATGAT
Organism: Homo sapiens; assembly: GCF_000001405.40. NCBI lineage: Eukaryota > Metazoa > Chordata > Mammalia > Primates > Hominidae > Homo > Homo sapiens. The sequence continues at coordinate 36,231,026 of NC_000022.11, forward strand.
CTCATTTTTCTCATAATAAAACTCCATTGATGAAGAAAGGCTGAAAGTGAGAAAGTAACTGGCAAAGTTCCCATCACCAGCAGATGGCAGAAATGACCCTGTTCCTGTGGGCTTCCTATCCCCTCAGCCTGAGGCTACTCACTGCCAGCGAAGGACATGGAGGAAATATTCCTCCTGGAGTGCCGAGAAGGTCATCCTCAAGCCCAGCAGAGGGGGCTGCCTGGAGGAGGTGTGCCTGTCAGGGACAACCAGCCCAGGGGAGATCTGAGTGGCATCGCTGGGGCGCCCCATGGAGTTAACCCCATGGAGCTTACCTGGGCAGTTCAGCAGCAGCCACGAATCCATTCCAGGCTTCATCATCAGTCAGCAGTTGTAGCAGATTCTCTCTGCTCACTTGGTCCTGGAAATACTTAAGGTAATCCTCAATAAAGATACTGCTCTCTAGTTGGAAAGAAGAAAGGATAAGGTTGGAGGATAGTGTAGGGGAGCATAACAGCCATTGCACATTAGGTGGTTACATGTTAATTTTTCCTGGACAACTGTGATGTGGGACATGTTTGATGGAGTCATCAGTGCTATAGAGGGATTGTGTGCCCCCAAAATTCATATGCTGAAGCCCTAAACTCGAGTGACTATATTTGAAGATTGGGCCTTTAAGGAAGCAATTAAGACTGAATGAGATCACAAGGGTAGGGCTCTAATCCTACTAGAGGGCTAGTGTCCTATTGTAAGAAGAGAAAGAGAAACAATAAGGCCAGGTAAGCACACAGCGCAAAGGCAGCTGCCGCAAGCCAGCAAGAGAGTCCTCCCAAGGCTCCAACCCCTTAATTTAATAAACCATCAAAGACAGAAACCCCAAACCCCACTGGGCCCAACTGGCTCTTCTGAGTCCACCTGCACTTCCATCCCTGAGCCTGTGCTTCTGCTTTGCAGCTGATTTGTTTTTTCTTTGACTCAAATTTTTTCTCTCAGTGGAGTCAAAAACCTGGACAAGGCTAAGGTCTGGTCTCTCCTGGATTCGGAGAACTTCCTAAACCCACCAGCACCAATGTGACCAGGAATTTTCCAAAAAGGTAAATCAAAACAGGCAGTTTTGTAACTGCAACCAATCAAATAATGTCCTTATTGCAGTTTCATATTTACTCGATAAATACTTGTCTCTGACACTTTTTCATCATAACATGAAGCCTCTTCCAGTTTGGTTTTCTCAATTCATGAATTCCTTCTTATTCAAATAAATGTTACTGTGCCTCAGATTTTTCTTTGACAAGGGGTATCTGAGATCATGGGAATGAGGCCCTGCCTGAGGCAGTCATCCCTGGTCAGCAGGTGCTTGTGATGGGCAGTGCAGGGCGGGTGCCCTAACACAGATGAGGGGACTGGGTGGCTTCCACCTGGAATCAACAGGGGATAGATAGAGGAGATAGAGGGGATGCAAACTAATTCTTAGGGAGGCCCTACTGTGTGGCAGGCTTTGGCCAGGCCAGGTACCCTTATAATATTTAATCTTCGTGACAACATGGGGAAATATTATTTTCATGGTACACGAGAGGGGAGGTAAGGAGCTCCAGGTCACACAGAAGGGACTTGGAAAAGGCCAGACCGGGGTCCATTTAAGTTGGAAGCTGGGTCAAGCATGATACATTCCCATAGGGCCACTCAGAACAGAGGGGCTGGTGCAGGGCAAGAGCTGGAGGGAGGGGACCGGCCTGTGCTGGAAAAAACCCTGGGTCAGCAGGGAGAAGAGCGGTAGATAAGAGATCAGGGCTGCAGGTCAACCTCCTCTCCCACCCCTCCCCTCCTCCTGGACCCTGCTCTTCCCCCACTCCCCTCTCTTGCTTGTTCCACTTCCTCATGGCTGTCCTGCCCCACTTGAGTCATCTGCTGGGTGACAGGGTAGGGAGGAAGTGGGCACCTGGGCCGTGTCACCCCGAGGAGAGGTCAGGATGCAGATGACCCCCAGACCCCTGGGTCGGGGGACTCCACGTGACCTCTTCTGCTGCTCGGGGCAGACTCATTGGCCTCCTAGTCCATCTGGGTTCTTCTGGGGCTCACTCAGCTGTGGAGGTGCCACCCTCCATTCTAGGTGCGAGTAGGAACTAGCCAGGAAAGAGGAAGCGAGCCTACCTGGGTTCATGGTGCCAGCGGCTGGGTTACCGAGGGGCTTTCCTTGGAGCTCTCCAGTCACTGTCCAGACTGGAAGGTTTTCCTTAACCCTTGAGAACGAGAAAACAAATTGTGGGATCGAAGGTGAGCCTCCTGTGTACAGAGGGAGGCTGGAGGGGCTGGGTCTTTGCAGATCCCTCTGTGGTAGCAGCAAATGTCCAGAGTGTTTATCTCCTGGGGCCCTGCCAGCTAGTATTTACAGAAACTCACCTCGTTCCAGCTTCCTCTTCCCTCACTCTCACACCAAGGCAGGGTCCTCTTGTCCTGTAGGGGTATGAGAAGAAGATAATCAGAGGAGGGGCAGCCATCTGATCATTACAGAAACTACAGAGTCTATACACAGGAATAGAGATGGGAGGGAACATTCTGACAATGACCTGGGCCTGGGAACATGTATGATAACTAGTTGATGATAGCCAGTGTGTATTGTGTGTCTGTGATGTGCATGGCCTCTGACATGTATCTCATTCGATGATCACACACAGGACAGGAGATGGGTACCACTTTCCCATTTGAACACAGAGGAATCCACAAAAGTTAGGGAACTTATGGGTGTTTTCACAATAGTGCTAGAGCCAGGACTTCTGCTTCAATCCCATGTCTTCAATTACTGTGCTCTACTCCCTTAAATATACAATATTGAGTCATGTATACACGCTCATGGTAAATGACTCCTCATTGCAAATCCCTGTCTCACACTCTGTGCTCAACTCTTCGTCTTGGTGAACTCACTGGTGCTGCAGTGGACAGCCTGTGTCCCCGTTGCTTCTCTAAGATTCTTTGTCCCACAAAGACCTGGATCCTGCTAGATGCCGGCCCAGCCCCTGCTGTGGCTGCCGAGCCCTCCTGATGCTTCCCCGTCCCCTCTGCTGTCCTCCCCTAGCTGATGGACCTTAGGGTGTTTCTAATTCTTCATATAAATTATGCTACAAAGAATATCCTCCCTCACGTAAAACTGCTCACATTTGAGATTATTTCCTTAAGATACTTTTAAGAGTAGAATGACTAGGTCAAAAGCTATTAACATCTCAAAAGTTTTTATACCTAGAGCCACTCTGTATGAAAACTGTACAAATTCACACTCAAACTAACAGGATATGAAGATGTCCATTCTTTCAGTCTTACTGGCTCTCAGTAGTCTTTTCTTCAGGAAAACAAAACAAAACAAAACATTATTCCTTGAGACAAGGTCTCACTCCTAGTATGCAGCCCAGGCTGCTGGCAAAATCCTGGCCTTAGGGGATCCTCCCACCCTGCCCTCTAAAGTGCTGGATTACAAACATGAGCCACGACACCCGGCCTGAATAAATGCTGATCTTTATATAGAGGAAAGTTCTTCACATTCTGCTCCTGATTATCTTACCCTGGGAGGTGAGGGAAAATAGCAAATGTTAATCATATTAATCATCTTTAGGCACTGTTTTAAGAAGACAGAAGAGCATTTATCAACCTCCCCTCCTGAGATCAAACTACAGCCATAGTCAAGGCACTTACAGGTATAATGGCACTTAATGTTAATGTGGGCAAACATTGGTGGATTTTGCACCACTAATTGCTCTAAGATGTTATAAATAGTAACTCACAGAACTCTTCCAAGAACCTAGGAAGTGTGTACCATTGGTATTTCCATTTTCAGGTAAGAAAACTGAAACAGATGTTCAGTGACTTGCCCAAGCTCAGAATCTACTACGTGGTAAAGACTGGGTTCCCACCCAGACAGACGGACTCAAGAACTCACGCACTGCCTCTGCACCCTCTGCTGCCAATGAAAATTTAAATGAGGGCAACAGGAGATCAGAGATGCCAAGAGATGTTGGAAAACAGAACTGGCTGAAGAAATGACAACTGAATAAAGAGGGGTGAAGGGAGCTGTGAACCACAGCAATGCCAAGAGGGCATCCAGCCAGGCAGAGTGGTCTACTAGGCAGAGCCTCAGAGAGGGGAGGAGTTCACCAGGCCCACGTGCCATATGGGATTCATGCCAGCCTTGAGTCTACACCAGTGAAAAAAATCAGAGAGTTCATGACTGAAGCAATATGCCCCAGAAATAATATCTTTGTATTCTGACACTTCAGTGGGTTCCCATTCAATCACCCTACAGGGAAGACTGCCAGTAGACCTGCCCCCCACCCCGTTCAATATGAATAGATCTAGGATCAGAAATTGGAGAAAGGTGAAAGTGGGGAAACAGACCAAGATGACCAAATACAAAAGGAGTCCAGAACAAACAAGTAATTTTTTAAATCTCAAACCCATGTCCTCAGGGAGATTAAAAAATATTTTATTCATAAACTTAAAACAAGATATATAGAAAAGAAGAAAAATCAATGAAACAAACAAAAAAAGAGATTTTCTAGAAACTAAAAGGTGATGATCAAATAAACAAGTCTAGAGAGACCATGTGAAAGAAAGTCACGGAAATCCTCCAGAAAATAAACCAAAAAGATGACAGAGGAAAAGGAGCTATATGGGGAATAGAAAAGTTACCAGGCACAGGGTCACAGGGTGTTCTAAGAAAGCTACTTGAGAATGAGCCACCGGGAGGAAGAAAGGGTGGGTGGGTGGGTGTGTGTGTGTGTGTGTGTGTGTGTGTGTGTATGTGTTGTGCATCCATGGAGGGCAGGTGGGGATAACCAAGAAAGAAAAAGACATGGGATCCAGAAAACAGGAAAATCAACCCAGAGAGAAGGGAATCTGAGGATCACAGTGGGACATGCAGTAGGCCTACAAAACGACCAGTCCAGGATGGAATAAAAAGGGAATGGTTCTGTGGGAAAAAGGGACTCAATAGAATACCTCAAAGGATTCACAGTTTGAGAGAAACTGAGGAAATGAAGAAGGCAAGCAGTACAAGGGAGGAAAAAAAACAAAGGCAATTAGAAACATCAGGAAAAAGTAAAGCTGTGCCACAAAACATGTGCAAACATGGTGTACAACTCAGCTCCACAGTAAATAGTATTTAAAACATCACAAAATGTAAACACTCTTGATTGATTTTTAACTTTGAGAACAGAACAGAGCATATAAATATGAGAACTAAATATACTTGTTACCGATTAGTACAAACTTAAAGCACAAAGGTAGCAGTTGGGATGTGAAGCACTGAACGAAGGAGAAGGAGGATTAATATTGTCATCTTTTAAAGAGGGGAGTCAAGAAATACTAGGTAAAACTGAGAGTATAAGAAAGAAAGTTGTAAGTAAATTGTTTACAGCTACAAAGTTGCTAATGGAGGACATAAAACTGGTGATACAATATTAGGAAAAGGTGGAGAGGAGAGATAGAGGGAGTGTACAAACAAGATGAAAATGACTAATAATGACACTATAAGTAATAATGATAATACCGATTCAGGCCCATCCCAGTTAGGGGCGGCTCCAAAATCACCATTGTTCTTTTCTCACCTTGTGTCTCTGCGCACTCCCCGGCACACCCACTTCCAGCAGCTGGTCTTTGTTTGCAGACTTTATTTTAACAGCTCAGTGGTTCCCGGGCATCCTCCAGCTCTTATACAAAAGCCCCCTCCTCAAAAGCCACTCGCCTCCCTCTTTCCACTTCCCACCTCTGTTTCAGGGTCGAGGCATCCAGATATCTGTCTTCTGGGGCCCCTACGCAGCAAGACTAAAAGGGGGACCCAGTCCTGGGCAGCAGTTCACCAGGGGAGTATGCAGAGGGGCATCTGGACACTTCTTGCTGTAAGGGACGGGGTGACGGGAGGGGGTCTTCCCTTCCCCTTCTTCCTGCTTTGTTCACTCTGTGACACCCTAGGCCAGGGGAGCTGTCTCAACGCCATCTCATGAGCCATGAGAACCAGGAGGACCAGGAGGGAGAAGAGGAGCAGGAGGGCAGACAGAGCTGGGGCCTCGGACCTGCCCAATACTTGTGAGGAGCTGCATCCAGGATCCCATCCTCCTGGGTCATTGTTGGCCTGGCTCCCACCTTTGTCTGGAGCCTCTGCTGGGGGTTGAGGCTGGATACTGCCCCTCAGGCTTGACTAGGACACAGTGTGTACTCCATGGGTGAGCCTGCAGGCTGGTCAATTCCGGTGTCCAACTGAGCGACCTGGAAGAGGAGCCCTCCCTCCCACCTCAGCTCTGAGCCAAGCTCTCCAGATGCAGAGGACAGGGACTCTCAGCAAAGCATCTCCCTCCAAGTGGTTGTGGGGCATCCTCCTTGGGCAGGGAAAGAGGAGTCGAAATGATTTCCTGAGAAATCGTCATTTTCATTTTATTTTTGAGAAACTGTCTTGCTCTGTCACCCAGTCTGGAGTGCTTTGGGGCTATCACAGCTTGCTGTAGCCTAGAGCCCCTGGGCTCAAGTGATCCTTCTGCCTCAGCCTTCCAGGTAGCTGGGACTACAGGCACACGGCACCATGCAGGACTAATTTGTTAATTTTTCATTTCAGAGAGACAGCATCTCCTGTGTTGCCCAAGCTGTCTTGAGCTCCTAGCATCATGTGATTCTCCCGCCTCTGCCTCCCACAGCACTGAATTACAGGCCTCAGCCGTGGCACTGCACCCTTCTGAGGAATCTTCAGTGAAAAGCCACGGTCAAGTTCAAACCCCATAGCAGGGCACACAGGCCCTCTGATGCTCTGGACCCCACCTTCCTCACCGCTCCCTGCCACCACAGTCACCTTAGGTCCAGGCACCCACTGACGCCCTGCTTCGGTGCCTCCTGGAGCCCATCTACTCCTCCCACTCCCATCCCCAGCCTCAGGCCTTCACTCAGCTGCTCCCTCGCCCTGGAATGTCCCCCCCACTGTCCCCACCATGTGCAAGTCACCTGTCCTCAGAGACCCACCCAAAGCTGCCTGGTCCATGCGGCGGCCCCCAACCCTCCCCAGGCTCCCTGAGCACTCTGCTTTCCAGAGGGAGCTCTACCTGTATGTGGCTCTTTGGGCCTCTGTCTCCCCTTTAGACTCTGAACATTCAATGGGGACACTGTTGTGTTCCCAGCTGCACCCCCTACGACTGACCTGGATGCCCTCCGCCCTCCCTGGCACAGCCTGGCTGAAATCCCAGGTGCAGGAGGCATTACTTGAACTAAAAGCAACCAGCCTCTGGATGACATGGCCCAGCTTCAGTTTCACTTTCAGTTGAGAAATTGAATTTAATTTTTCTTTCTATCTTGATGGGCATCTCTTTTTGGTGAAGAACAAATAAGACCATGACTCATATTTCACAGAAATTACCCCCCTGATTTCATGGACTTTTGGCAGCTCTATCAAGTTTTTTAGAGGGGAAAAATCTTAGGCTGGGAGGGGAGGTGACTTGCCCAGAGTCACACAGCTCTTGGAGGGCAGAGGGGAGGCCAACATCTGCCCTTGTGACTCTGATATTGAAGCAAAAATGGGTGATTTTAATAATCCAACAGTGTCCAGGTTTGATTCTGCTTCTACAAACACAGAGACCTAAGCTCTCACTCCTGTAGTTATACTCACAATTCCACAGTGTGGCTTTTGAATCTCATGATTGCAAAGCTGGCATCATGCCACAGGTACCATTCTGCAATGCGACCTTCTCACTCCCCTGTCTCAGCCATGTTTCCCATTAGGGACACAGCACAGCCTGTTTCTTCTCTATCAGCTCAGAGGTCTGAACAGAGGGACAGAGGTGAGGGCCAGAGACGTGAAGTCCTATGATCTGCCTGCTCAGCCTCCTGACACGGGACCCTGGCAAGTCATTCCCCTCCCAGGGCCTCAGTTTCCCCACAGGGCCTGGCACAAGTAGGTGCTCAGACTCAGGGTGAGTGAGACAACCTCTGAGTTCCTTGTGTCTCAAAAGAAATCTGTTGTTCCCATTGGGCTTCAGCAGCAGCACCCTGGGGCCAGCCTGGGTGTGGCCCGGCCACAAGGACATGCCGGGCTCCAGGTCACCTCCCCTCCTCCACCTTCTTTGATTCCTTCAAATTTCCCAAAGAGATGGGCACCCCCAACACCTACCTTTCTTCTGGGGTCAGCTGGCCGTGTCTGAGGGTGTCAGAACCAGAGCTGAGCCCGGGGAGCTTTGTGAACCCATCTAAGCTGTTTTCCCCACCTCTCTCTACAGTTTACCCGCCCAGCAGGAGGGAGGGAGCAATCAGACTCAAGCCTGGGTGCAAATCCCGGCTCTGCCACTGCTTTCCTGTCTGATCTGAACCAGCTACCTAACCTCTCTGAGCTTATCTACAAAAGCTGAATGATCCTTCCCTTATAGAGCTATTGCAAGAATAAGGACATGGGGGTAGATCACACTATCCCCAACTTACCAAGGGATCTTCCTCTGACAGAGACTGAGCAAGATCCAACTGTTCTGAGCTGTGTGGATCCCACGTCCAGCTGTGCATCTGTGTAATAACCAGACACGTCCTCCGGCCTCCCAGATATACCCTGGAATTCGAAAGGGAAAGTGAAAGTCACAACTTCCCAGCAGCTCATGACCAAGCACAGTAAACACGCTGCTCCCCAGCACCACCTGCAGTCCAGGCCCAGCCTCCTTGCTGCTGCACTTAGAGGAGCAGCCGCAGACCAGACATCCGGGTCCCTCTCATCCAACCCACCTGCCTCACATCCTCAGGATTCAAGGTCTGCTGTGTCAGCTGCCCATGTCTCAGGCAGTCAGAACCAGAGTTGAGCCTGGGGAGTTTTTTGAACCCATCTGAGCCGCTTGCCCCCCAACCCCCGCCCCGATCTCTGCAGTTTAAGGGCACAGCAGGTGGGGGAGAGAAGTCAGACTCAAGCCTCAGTGCAATTCCAGGCTCTGCCCCTGTTTTACTGTCTGATCTGAACTAGTTACCTAACCTTTCTGAGCTCAAGAAAGACCTGCCACTGACTGACCGTGGGGCTCTCCAGATTACTCCCCGTCCTTCCGTTCCCCCACATTCCTCAGATGCCTGCCTTACTCCCACACATGCCATCAGCATCAGCACAGTCCCCCACACATGCTGGGTGGATGCTTATTGCATATTTATTGTAATGCTTCTGAGGTTATGTTTTCTGTTATGTTTTTGATATAGAGTCTTGCTCTGTAGCCCAGGCTGGAGAGCAGTGGCACAATCATAGCTACTTCAAGTGGCACAATCAAGCCATCCTCCCATCTCAGCTTCCGAGTAGCTGGGATTACAGGTGCCTGCCACTACACCCAGCTAATTTTTTGTAATTTTAGTAGAGATGGGGTTTCACCATCTTGGCCAGGCTGGTCTTGAACTCCTGACCTCAAGTGATCCACCTGCCTTGGCCTCCCAAAGTGCTGGGATTACAGGTGTGAGCCACGGCGCCCAGCCCATTGTATCCTTCTTGTGACTTTGTGTCTTCATAGCTTAGCTCCTACTAATAAATGAGAACATACAATATTTGGTTTTCCATTCCTGAGTTACTTCACTCAGAATAATGGTGTCCAACTTCATCCAGATTGTTACGGATGCCATTATTCCCTTCCTTTTTACAGCTGAGTAATATTCCATGGCATATACATATATAGGGGTGTGTGTGTGTGTGTGTGTGTGTGTATATACACACACATTTTCTTCATCCACTTGTTGGCTGATGAGCATTTAGGTTGGTTCCATATTTTTTCGGTTGCAAATTATGCAGCTATAAACATGCATGTGCGAGTATCTTTTTTATATAATAACTTTTCTCCTCTGGGTAGATACCCGGTAGTGGGATTACTGGATCAAATGGTATTCTACTTTTAGTTTTTTAAGGAGTTGCCATACTGTTTTCCATAGTGGTTGTACTAGTTTACATTCCCACCACCAGTGTAAAAGTTTTCCCTTGTCACCATATTCACACCATTTTAGCTAGGCTGGTCTTGAACTCCTGACCTCAAGTGATCCACCTGCTTTGGCCTCCCAAAGTGCTGGGATTACAGGTGTGAGCCACTGCACCCTTCTATTCTTCTTTGATTTTTAAATTATGGCCATTCTTGCAGGAGTAAGGTGGCAACTTATTGCAGTTTTAATTTGCATTTCTCTGATAATTAGTGACGTTGAGCACATTTTCATATTTTTTTGGCCATTTCATTTTGTATATCTTCTTTTGAGAATTGTCTATTCATGTCCTTTGCCCACTTTTTGATGGGATTATTTTTTTTTTCTTGCTGATTTGTTTGAGTTCCTTGTAGAAACTGGATATTAGTCCTTTGTCAAATGCACAGTTTGCAAATATTTTCTCCCACTTTGAGGGTTGTCTGTTTTCTCTGCTGATTATTTATTTTGCTGTGCAGAAGCTTTTTACTTTAATTAGGTCCCATCTCTTTATTTTTGTTTTCGTTGCATTTATTTTTGGGTTCTTGGTCCTGAATTCTTTGCCTAAGCCAATGTCTGGAGGAGTTTTTCCGATGTTATCTTCTAGAATTTTTATGGTTTCAGGTTTTAGATTTAAGTCTTTGATCCATCTTGAGTTGATTTTTGTATGAGGATACTGTTTCATTCTTCTACATGTGGCTTGCCAATTATCCTGGCACCATTTGTTGAATAGGGTGTCCTTTCCGCACTATACGTTTTTCTTTGCTTTGTCAAAGACTAGTTAGCTGAAAGTATTTGGCTTTATTTCTGGGTTCTCTATTCTGTTCCCTTGATCTATGTGCCTATTTTTATACCGGTACCATTCTGCCATTATGTACCTTTTTTTTTTTTTTTTTTTTTTTTTTTTGAGATGGAGTCTCTCTCTGTCACCCAAGCTGGAGTGCAGTGGTGCGATCTTGGCTCGCTGCAAGCTCCACCTCCTGGGTTCATGCTATTCTCCTGCCTCAGCCTCCCGAGTAGCTGGGACTACAGGCGCCCACCACCACACCTGGCTAATTTTTTTTTTTTTTTTTTTTTGTATTTTAGTAGAGATGGGGTTTCACTGTGTTAGCCAGGATGGTCTCGATCTCCTGACCTCGTGATCTGCCTGCCTTAGCCTCCCAAGGTGCTGGGATTACAGATGTGAGCCACTGCACCCAGCCCTTGTACCTTTTAAGTGAACCATTTAGCCCATTTTCATTCAATGTTAGTATTGAGATATAAAGTGCTGTTCTATTCATCAGGCAAGTTGTTGCCTAAATACCTTATTTTTTTCATTGTGTTATTGTTTTATAGGCCCTAAGGCTTATAAAACAATATGCTGTAAGGAGGTTCTATTTTGGTGTATTTCGAGGTTTTGTTTCAAGACTTAGAACTCCGTTTAGCATTTCTTGTAGTACTGGCTTGGTAGTGGCGAATTCTTTCAGCATTTGTTTGTCTGAAAAAGACTTTATCTCTCCTTCATTTATGAAGCTTGGTTTTGCTGGATACAAAATTCTTGACTAACAATTATTTTGTTTAAGGAGGCTAACAACAGGACTCCAGTCCCTTCTGGCTTGTATGGTTTCTGCTGATAAATTAGCTGTTAATCTCATAGATTTTCCTTTACAGGTTACCTTATGCTTTTGTCTCACAGCTCTTAAGATTATTTCCTTCTTCTTGACTTTAGATACCCTGATGACATGTGCCTAGGTGAGGATCATTTTGTGATGAATTTCCCAGATGTTCTTTGAACTTCTTGTATCTGGATATCTAGATCTCTAGCAAGGCCAAGGAAGTTTTCCTCAATTATTCCCTCAAATAAGTTTTCCAAACTTTTAGATTTCTCTTCATCCTCAGCAACACCAATTATTCTTAAATTTGGCCATTTAACATAATCTCAAATTTCTTGGAGGCTTTGCTCATTTTTTAAAATTCTTTTTTCTTTGTCTTTGTCTGATTGGGTTAATTTGAAAGCTGTGTCTTCAAGCTCTGAAGTTCTTTCTTCTACTTGTTCTAGTCTATTGTTGAAACTTTCCAGTGCCTTTTGTATTTCTTTCAGTGTGTCTTTCATTTCCAGAAGCTGTGATTGTTTTTTCTTTGTGATATCTATTTCTCTGGAGAATTTTCATCCATATTCTGTATTTTTTAAAATTTCTTTAAGTTGGTTTTCACCTTCCTCTGCTATCTCCTTGAATAGCTTAATAATCAACCTTCTAAATTCTTTATATGGCAATTCAGAGATTTTTTGTTGGCTTGTATCTATTGCTGGGGAGCTAGCAATAGCTTTGGGGGGTGTTATAGAAATATGTTTTGTCATATTACCAGAATTACTTTTCCGGTTCCTTCTCATTTGGGTAGACTATTTCAGTGGAAAGATCTGAAACTCAACTCCTTCTGTTCAGGTTCTTTTGTCCCACGGGTTATTCCTTGATGTGGTACTCTCCTTCTCCTAGGAATAGGGCTTCCTGAGAGCCAGACTGCAGTGATTGTTATTGCTCTTCTGGGTATAGCCACCCACTGGGGCTATACCAGCCTTTGGGTTGGTGCTGGGGAATGTCTGCAAAGAGTCCTGTGATGTGATCATCTTCTGGTCTCCTAGCCATGGATACCAGCACCTACTCTGGTGTAGGTGACAGGCGAGTGAAGTAGACTCCGTGAGAGTCATTGGTTGTAGTTCTCTTTAGTGTGCTGTTTTCTCCAATGCTGGTTATGCTAGCAGTGAAGCTGTCATGTGGAGAGACTGAGGACCTCTGGTCAGTCAGGATGTTGCGGGCAGTGGTATTAGCTCTTGTCTTCTCCTTCCTGGGAATAGGGTTATTCTGTCATGAGTTGCTGTAATGGCCTGAGTTGGTTGGTCTCCAGCCAGGAAGTGGCACTTTCAAGAGAGCACCAGCTGCGGTAGTAGAAGGGAGATACAAGCTTGCCCTAGGTTGACCAGGGTAAGTATTCTAGTTTCTCAGGTGATTGGCAGGGCCATAAAGCTCCCACGAGTTTATGTCTTTTGTGTTCAGCTACCAGGATAAGTAGAGAAATACCATCAGGTGGAGGGCAGGGTTAGCTGGGTCTGAGCTCAGACTTTCCTTAAGCAGGGCTTGCTGCGGCCACTGTGAGGGATGCAGATTGTCCTAAGGCCAATGGGGTTTGTTACAGAGGGGATTATGGCTGCCTCTGCTGTGCCATATAGTTCGCCAGGGAAGTGGGGGATAGCTGGCAGCGAGAGGCCTCACCCAGATCACATGCAGTTGGCAAGGCTGGCCTTGCTCCCGCAGTGCCCCACTAACAATGCCAAGTTTAGATTCAGGCAGCCTGTGCGCAGAACTCAGACCTTGTCCCAGGCCATAAGCTTCTCCACTGAGAAAGCAAGCATGGCTTTCAGGCCTTGCCTCTCCCCATCTGCCCACAGTGTCAGTGGTGGCTCCTGGGCTCATATTTGCAGAAGTTCCTGTTCTCCCCCTGGATTCTGCTCAAGAAAATTCAAGCCCAGTAGAAATTATTAGAAAATCCATCTGGAAGCTTCTTTCACCCTGTGACCCCTCCCAAATTCTGCTGGCTGCTTTCCCCAAAGGCCTCTGTGAGATACCGCCAGGGATGGTGCCCTGGGCTTGAGCTGGACACTGGGAATGCCTACAGGATTCTTCCCACTTCTGCTTCTACTTTTACATTTTGCATGGTTCTCTGAATCCATTTCAGCTATGGGTAAGGTTAAATCCCTCTCCTGTAATCTGGATTTTCAGATTCCCCAGGGGCGATGTGTGTTTGGAGGCAGATTTTCCCTCCCTCACACTTTGGGAACTCCCAGTTTTTTGCCTGTCTCATAGAATTGGCAAGGAGCATGCCACTTCTTTCAAAGGATCTGTGAATTCTTTCAGTTTTCCTGGTACATTCCTGTGGTGGTTCTTGGCACACATTATTACATGATGTGGGTCTCCACATGCTGTCCGGTCCTTCCAAGTGGGAGCTGCATGTTAGCCCTGTCTCCTATCTGCCATCTTCCTCAGACTTCTAACATTAACTTTTAAAAAGCTTGGTGGGAAGAGACCAGGGCCAAAGTTCTCCTTCTTGGAGATGAAAGCCAAGAAGCACTTCCTTTGGGACAAGTCAGAAAAATCCTGACCAAATCAATGTGTGTTCCTGGCGATTCTGGCCCAGGCCTATTTCCTCCCCATCTGAGGAATTGCACAAACACAGCAGAACCCTTCTGCTGGCCCAGGACATGGAGAGGCTGGAGTGAAGTTGATCAGAGCTGGGATGGATCCTGGCTTCTGTCCCTGCACAGCTGTGGGCCTCTAGGATTATGCCTTGGAGACTGGCATCTGGCGTCTGGCATCTGTCCAATGGGAATAGTAATTCAATCATATAGGAGGATGGTGAAGGCCTTAGAGTGAACTCCAGGTCAAAGGTGGGGGACCAAGTACCATGATCCTGCCGAAAAGTCCAGATAGACCTGGACCAGGGGCAGAACCAGGGGTCAGGATGGGCATAAGTGGGCCTAATTGGAAGGTAAGTAGGAAGGCTGGGACACCAGGGCCAGGACTAGGGTGAGAGGAGGGAGGCACCAAGGACACCAAACGTAAGGAGGTCATTGACTTGCAGAGGACACATGAGTGGGAGAGGGATATTTCTTCCCTCCCTGATTTGATCCCATCAGTGATTGGCATAGTGGGCCGTGAGTGACGGTTTCCCCCACACCAAGCCTGAGAACTGTGAGAACTGTGGAGTTTTTGCGTGCCCTTTGGGACCCTCTTGTGTTCTACATAGAGTAGCCCCTGACCCTGGGAAAGCAGTGTGGCTTAGTGACCACTTCCGGAGTCAGAATGGGTGGCTGCCAATTTTTGTAATTTCAGGGGTTCTGAGGAAACCCATAAGTTGCCAACCAAAGAGGAAAACACTTCGTCTACCATCTTGTCCAAATTCAGGTCTTTTCAGCATTAGCAATTTATATAGATGGTTCTGAAAGTGTCTTGAGTCTTCTAGAGGCTCCATAAAATTGCACATGGCCTTGGCAAGCACAGAGGTGAAGCCATCACTCCTTAGGCATCGATTAGGCTGGTGACATCTGAAAGTGAGACCTGGAAGGTTGGAGGTGCAGGTGGTAGGTCAGGAGGCAGTAAGGTGGCTGGAGAATCCATGTGGACTCTCCAAAACTAATAGCCAGGTCTCCTCCTCCAGTCAACTGGTGCGGTGCTTGGAACCAGTGACCATCAGTCAGAAGGTCAAAGGGCATGAGGCATTGGAAGAGAGCAGATGCCAGGCAAAGTGATCTTGTGTAGGTCTGTTTTTGGTTTTGTTTGAATTCTGAGTACTCAGAGTTACCAAAACTGCAATGTCTGAGGGCACCCTTATCTTTGACACTAACTGCAAATTTAAGGGGATTCCTAAATCCGTCCTTAGATTTTATAATTCACTAGAGGAATTCACGTAACTCACTGAAAACTGTTATTGCATGACTGTGGTTTATCACAGGGAAAAAACACAGGTTAAAATCAGCCTAAGGAAGACACACAGGGCAGAGTCTAGGAGGGTTTCAGGTGTGAAGCTTCGTTGTCCTCAGGAGGCTGCGTTCTCCTGTGTCAATGTGGGACAAAACACATGGGGTGTTGCCAACCAGGGAAGCTCACCCAGTTAAGGAAAAATTCCTGTGAATCACATTAAATCAGGAAGAAAGCCTTTATTCAGGATTGTTGTTACAGGGGAGGGAGACTGAGCCCAGCTCCCAATACAGTAAAGACAGAGGGGGAGTCACAGCCAACACCAGAGTGAGGGGCAGCAGATGGAACAGGACTGACAGGAGGCACCAGAGTCGGGGGTTCATGCTAAACTGGCCTAACAGGATTTTCCCTAAAGGCAGGTCAGACACTCACCCATCAAGGGGCAGGTGAGGAGAGTGATCAGATAGCAAGTGTGCTCAGACAGTAAGAAGGGAGGACCCTCCCTAAACTGACTCGGGGGGATTCTTGCTGAGCCAGGGTTGTGCAGGCCCAGCAAGCACGGGATGGGCATGGAAGGCCAAGGTTGGTGCCTAGAGGAGAAGAGGCTCAGAAGAGCCCAACTGGAGTCTGGTCAAACAGAAAGTCTTTCTCAACCCATGCCTTAGTGTCCAGAGTGTTTGCTGGGGCTTGACCACAGGCTGCACTCATGGCTGACCTGGAGTTTCCAGCCCCTCCCTGAGGTCTCACACCTTTAGTCCCCAGATCCTCTGGTGGTGAGAAGAGATACCCAATAGCCCCAAACCCCCATCATCCATCACATTTGCTATACTGTCCTGTAGCCAAACCACCAGGGAAACAAAGACATTCCTACCAGGCAGGGCATTCCAGGGGCCTGGAGATCACTTCGCAGGGGTAGGGGACAATGGGAAGACCTCTCCTGGGATAAAGTTAATTCTTCACTGCGCAATTGTAGTGCAGTGAAGATTCTATTCCCAGAGGCCGGGGAAGGTTTGCAATTGCTTTGGTGCAGTGGGGCATGGGTAAACTTGCACCTTAGCTATAACAGCAGACAGAACAACCATAGTACAAATACAGGTAGTCAGTTGTGCAACTGTGTATTGGTAGACACAATGACAGCACATCACCGGCTAACCCCACAATATGGGGTGACTACCTGTACAACAATGTCACCAAGCCCTTGGGTTAAGCAATGATACATGGCTGGGTTGGTAGAATAAGTCTCTGCATATGGGTGCCTACCAATCCCCATGGAGATGGAGATGGCTGTGGGCCTGTGTCACCCACCCTTGGCCTTATTTGCCATTCAACTGGACTGGCAGATGCATCTCAGGGCATCCTTAATTGCCACAGTATATAGTTCCCCATTTAGACACGACCCCCAGTAACTGGAAAACGGTAAAAGCTAGAGATTACCAGATATGTGCATACTGGTGGTTCTACCCCTTGGCCATCTTTGCCTCCAAAGTGGCAACTGTAAATGCAGAGCTGCAATTCGTGTGCTGGCTAAACACACAGCTGCAGCCTTCAATGATACTCACCATCGTTTTACACTTCCCAATCAAGAAACCACCCAGATCAGGCATGTTCCTCTGCAAAATCGTATGACCCAAAATCATACAACTGCTGCCCATGGTGGAGCTTGTGCATTAATTAAAACAAAATGTTGTGTATATAGCCCTCATTACTCTCATAACATAACACAGGCTCTGCTGACGTTAGATACCCAGAGTCCAGCCACAGAGTCTTTGTCTTATGATCTTATCACCTCATGGTTTAATCAACTCCCAGACACGTGGAGAAACTTTGTATCTAGCGTAATTGCAATTGCGTTCATAATCCT
Source organism: Homo sapiens (assembly GCF_000001405.40). Classification (NCBI taxonomy): domain Eukaryota; kingdom Metazoa; phylum Chordata; class Mammalia; order Primates; family Hominidae; genus Homo; species Homo sapiens. The sequence continues at coordinate 36,248,231 of NC_000022.11, forward strand.
TTGTTGAGGTTAGTGTTGCTGCTGGGGTGTCTGGCTGCAATGCTCTTCCACAAAACTGGCCCCAGGAAAATCACAGAAAAACAGTGTGATGAGATTGTGAGGGCCATTCAAGGCTATGCAGGGGTGTGGAGAGCATGGTGGGCATGTCCCGTCAGACAGCAATAACTGAAGCATCCCCTAAGAATAACCCTACATTCCTTGGTGAATTTTTGCTCAGTGTTCCAAGGTATGGATCCCGGGAATGGCCAATCCAGATGTTTACATCATACTTATGAAGAACTCTGTTCCTTGGATCAGAGGTTGTGCAAGGAATCAAGACCTTTTGTTTTGGGCTAGGTGGAGGTTTCCTGGCAGAGGTGCTAAGTGGAGGTTGCTCTGGGAAGAATATCATATAACCTGCATGCATTTGACAAACAGGAGGGGATTTCTTGTCTTGCCTGCTGCTCCTGGGCAACCTGTACATAAGCTCCCTGAATAAAGCTTATGTCTCACCTGCTGTCTCCAGGTCTTTTCTTCTGTCTCTCCAAGTCTGTGTCCTGTCAGCTCATTAGCATAGGGGTCCAGCATGACAAATATAAAACGGTGTTTAACATTCTTTGGATTATGTTTATATAAATGTGTTATTAATATGTGTTCCAAAATTGTACGAGATTCTATAGGTCTAATATGTCTTGGCATATGTTATCAGAAACTATTATTATTATTATGTTAAGTAGTTGTTTGCCACAGAAATAAAGTAATTTCCTTGTCGAATGTGTCTTTACCAATGCTGTTCTCATACTTTTGTTATCTGCAAAAAGTGTTTACTTTACATCTCAAAAAACAGTTTATGATCAGCTACAGATTGTGCCATCGGACTAAGAAAAAAATAAATCTTCCAGGACTGTAATTCAAAAGTTGATGTGGTCATGAAGATTGCTAACCCAATATCAAGTGGAAGAAGGTTATTACATGGGAATGAATTAATGGAGAACAAAAATAAATTTTTAATGACTTTTTGTTTAATATACGACTGATTCTTTTGTTTTGTTTTTCTTAGTCAAGAAAACTTCTTTTTCCCTTTGGGCTCCATGTAGCTTTTAACAATTGAATAAAGTATACTCTTGTGAGCAAAATTTGAAGCATATTTCTTTCTCACTATCTGATTTCTCCAGAATTTGGAAACTATTTGTGAGTATTCTTAGTTCATGGCAATAGAGTTATTTGCATAAGTTCAGTTGGAATCTGTTTTCTTTCATAACAGGACACAACTAGAGACACTGGTTATTTTACCAAGGCTTTGACTGGCATGGCATATTTCCACATGTACGTAGGCTGCTTTGAGTAATGGTGGCTGGCTTATAGAGCCGATGAAAGCCTCTTTGAAAAATTTTCCTCAAACTTTGCCTATACAGTTCCTTTACAGGGTTCCTGTCCTGTGGTAAGTAAAGAATGTCACTTTCTGACAGGCCCAGGAAGCCCAAGTTACCTTGGGACCTTGAGGAGAAAGGAACTCACCTAATATATATAGGCATCTGCAGGCAAATATAAATCACTGGCTGAGCTTGAGATTTTAAAAGGCCTACTCTGAGATATCTTATGAAAAAGAAAATATTGTAGCAAAGTCAATTTCCAAAAGGAGCCCATATGCCAAATAAGTATTCTTGCTGCACTTTATACAAATGATCAGGCCAAGAACCATCAGACTAAAACTTCTGTTGCAAATAAATTAGCCCTACTATGATTTGTCTTTGGTAGAAATACAGGACTAGAGAGAGAAAAGGTATGTTTCAAAAGAAACTAGAGAATGCCTGTTATTGGATTCTAGCTTTCTCCATTGTTTTCTAGCCGTATTGTTTGTCCACAGTTTATCTGGACTACATACTGAATTCTTTCCTGGCCACAAGTCTCCAAACTAATATTTTGCTTTTCTTTTTCTCTCATTTTTCTGACTTGGAATCACCAGAAATCCAAACTGTGCTTTTCTTAAAGTCCTGCAAACTGAAGCTTGAAAACTGTGTTATAGTGAAGGAAGAGAAAGACCCTCTCATATTATTTTTATATTGTTTTGTACTCAGTACCTGTTTTAAGAAAAAACAACAAGGAAGTAAAACCAAAGACAGGCAGCCCGGCGCCAGGCCCGAAACCAGGCCTGGGCCCGCCTGGCCTAAACCCATTAGTTAAAAATCAACTTATGATTCAGAAGCCGATGTTATTCATAGATTCCTTACATTATGTAGAAGAACATTGTGAAACTCCCTGCCCTGTTCTGTTCCCCCCTGACGACCTGTGTATGCAGCCCCTGTCACGTACCGCCTGCTTGCTCAAATCAATCATGACCCTTTCGTGTGAAATCTTTAGTGTTGTGAGCCCTTAAAAGGGACAGAAATTGTGCACTCAGGGAGCTCGGATTTTAAGGCAGTAGCTTGCCGATGCTCCCAGCTGAATAAAGCCCTTCCTTCTACTACTCGGTGTCTGAGAGGTTTTGTCTGCAGCTCGTCCTGCTACAATAGAATTCAGACCAAACTCGTGACCAGAGACTCATTTGCTTCTACAGTGTTTTGTCCAAAAGATGTTGAAGAACGGCCAGGCGCAGTGGCTCACGCCTGTAATCCCAGCGCTTTCGGAGGCCGAGGCAGGCAGATCACAACGCCAAGAGATCGAGACCATGCTGGCCAAGATGGTGAAACGCTGTCTGTACTAAAAATACAAAAATTAGCTGGGCTTGGTGGTGCGTGCCTGTAGTCCCAGCTACTTGGGAGGCTGAGGCAGGAGAATCACTTGAACCCGGGAGGTGGAGGTTGCAGTGAGCCGAGATCACAACACTGCACTCCAGCCTGGCAACAGAGCAAGAATCTGTCAAAAAAAAAAAAAAAAAAAAAGTTGTTGAAGAACAAGGAGAAAACGTGAAAGGAAAATCAAATCTTGGGACCCCAAAACTCACTGGAAACAGTTAAGCTTAGAAACGGAGTCACTCCAAAACCTGCCTTTGTTTTTGCTTCTAAGCAGATATTTGCGAAGACAAAAGGCAACATGTTCCCCAGGTAGCCTCCTTCACAAATTGCTCACAAGGAAACTCCTTGTGGGTCCCAGCAGTTTTTACCCTGAGGCAGACTTTGTGTAATTTCATTGTGACAATGCAAATTAGCAACTTATCTTTACTGGTACATGATAAATAACAAGACTTCTGCCCACCCTCAGAAAAATGCACATATGCCTGCTTCCTCTACTCTATGTTCATTTTTATCTTATATAAAATGTAGACGAACTGTGCATGAGACGAATGAATAATTGACTGTTCCTCTACCCCCTCCTTTCATAGACAACCTGTGGATTCAAGGAGGGCTAATCAAAGCTTCACAAGAATGTGACCACTCACCTCATTACCTATCCTGTCTTTTTTCCTTTCCTCCTTCCACTCCTGCCTGATTTTACACATTTAAATACTGGAGGCCTCAAAACCCTCTGTGAAAAACGAGTGGACCCCAGAACCTCCTGTGACTTGTGTGACTTTTTCCTGGGTGCATCCTCAACCTTGGCAGAGTAAACATCTAAACTGACTGAGACGTGTCCCAGACCCTCTTTGGTTTACAAGTCTTGCCTCCTCCCTGAGTTGCTGGATGAAAGCAACGTCCTCTCTTCTTGCCTCAGTTTCCTCATCTGCAAAATCAGATCATAATCCTGGCCCATTGAGGGGATGATTATAAAACTCAATCAAATGGAGAAGCATTTGCAAATGGAATGTATTGCAAAGTGTATTGTGCAGTCCCTGTGTAATCACCATTCTCTTCCTGCCTCATAAGCTGGTGTGTGTGTGTGTATGGGTGGGGTGAGGTGGACACGATGCCCCCAGAGATGTTTGCTCAGGATGAAATAGGCCCCCATGGAAGGGTCAGGTTGGCTTCTGTGGTTTAGCTGCCTTTGAGGCCCTTCTGCCTGGGGCAAAGCACAAAAGTCCAATAGCAATCTGGTTGCATGACTTCCTAGTCATGGAAGTGTGGCTGAGCAGTGGTCTCTAGTCCCTCCACCCTGTGTGCCTCGGGAGTGGAACACGGGGCAGTGGCCTCTGCTGGGGAGGATGCTGGGGGATCTCTGAAAGGAGGCAATGCCTGATTTTGTCACTGAACGATGAGCATGATTTTTCCAGGCGGTGGAAGCAGGTGCTCCCGGCAGAAGACCCCATATAAGCAAATATCTAGAAGCCACAAGGCATGGCCTTCAACAAGAGCAGGCCTGGTGCGGTGGCTCATGCCAAGGTGGGAGGATCACTTGAGGCCTGGAGTTCAAGAGTAGCCCAGTCAATATAGTGAGGCACCATCTCTAATATAATTTTTTTAAAAATTAGCTGGGTGGTTGGCTGATACCTGTAGAACCAGCTACTCAGGAGGCTGAGGTGGGGGGATGGCTTAAGCCCAGGGGTTTGAAGCTGCTGTGCGCGATGACTGTGGCACTGCAATTCAGTCTTGGTGACAGACTGAGACCCTGTCTCAAAAACATAACCAAAATAACCCCAACGGCATTACAATAAATATACAATAAGCATCCACAAGGCATGTGTGGGAGACTGTGCTTATGCCGATGGCACGGGCAGGAGTAAGGCAGGCATCAGGGGAATGTGGATGCACGGGAGGATGGGGAGTAATCTGCAGGGTCCCATAGTATGTCAGTGGCAGGTCTTTCTCCTTGAGACCACAGCAGACCCCCAGCCCTGAGGATGCGAGGCAGGTGGGTTGGATGAGAGGGATCTGGATGTCTGGTCTCAGGCTGCTCCTCTAAGGGCAGCAGCAAGGAGGGTGGGGCTGGACTGAAGGTGGAGGGGAGCGTGTTTGCTGTGCTTGGTCATGAGCTGCTGGGAAGTTGTGACTTTCACTTTCCCTTTCGAATTCCTCGGTATATCTTGGGGACTGGAGGACCTGTCTGGTTATTATACAGACGCATAACTGGAGGTGGGATCCACACAGCTCAGAACAGCTGGATCTTGCTCAGTCTCTGCCAGGGGAAGATTCCTTGGTAAGTTGGGGACAGTTGACCTGCCTCCATCTTATTCTCACAGCTTTTGTAGATAAGCTGGGAGAGGTTAGGTGACTGGTTCAGATAGACAGGAAAGTAGCGGCAAAGCCTGGATTTGCACCCAGGCTTGAGTCTGATTGCTTCCCCTCTCCTGCTGGGCTCTTAAACTATAGAGGGTTGGGGAAACAGCTCAGATGGGTTCACAAAGCTCCCTGGGCTCAGCCCTGGTTTTGACTGCTGAGACACGACTGAGTGAACCCAGAAGGAAGGTTTGTGTTGGGGGTGCCCATCTCTTTGGGAAATTTGAAGGAACCAAAGAAGGTGGAGGAGAGGAGGTGACCCAGATCCCAGCCTGTTCTTATGGCCAGGCCACACCAAGGCTGGCCCCAGGGTGCTGCTGCTGAGGCCCAATGGGGGCAACAGAATTTTTTTTCAGGTACAAGGAGTTCAGAGGTCATCTCACCCACCCTGAGTCTGAGCACCAACTTGTGCCAGGCCCTGTGGGGAAACTGAGGCCCTGGGAGCGGAATGACTTGCCCAGGGTCCCGTGTCAGGAGGCTGAGCAGGTAGATCATAGGACTCCACGTCTCTGGCCCTCACCTCTGTCCCTCTGTTCAGACTTCTGGGGTGATGGAGAAGAAACAGGCTGTGCTGTGTCCCTAATGGGAAACGTGGCTGAGACAGGGGAGTGAGAAGGGTGCGTTGCAGAATGGTGCCTGTGGCATGATGCCAGCTTTGCAATCATGAGATTCAAAAGCCACACTGTGGAATTGTGAGTATAACTACAGGAGTGAGAGCTTAGATCTCTGTGTTCATAGAAGGAGAATCAAACCTGGAAACTTTTGGATTATTAAAATCAAACATTTTTGCTTCAATATTAGAGTCACAAGGGCAGATGTTGGCCTCCCCTCTGCCCTCCAAGAGCTGTGTGACTCTGGGAAATTCACCTCCCCTCCCAGCCTGAGTATTTTCCCCTGTAAAAAACCTGATAGAGCTGCCAAAAGTCCATGAAATCAGGGGGGTAATTTCTGTGAAATCTGAGTCATGGTCTTATTTGTTCTTCACCAAAAAGAGATGATGAAGCCTGTAACCCCAGTGCTGTGGGAGGCAGAGGCGGGAGGATGACTTGAGGCCAGGAGTTCAAGACAGCCTGGGAAACACAGGAGATGCTGTCTCTATGAAATCAAAAATTAACAAATTAGCCCAGCATGGTAGTGTGTACCTGTAGTCCCAGCTACTCAGAAGGTTGAAGGAGGCGGATCACTTGAGCCCAACAGATCTAGGCTGCAATGAGCTAGGATGGTGTCAAAGCCCTGCAGCCTGGGTGACAGAGCAAAACTGTTTATTAAAAACTAAACGAAAGGCCGGGCGCGGTGGCTCACGCCTGTAATCCCAGCACTTTGGGAGGCCAAGACAGGTGGTCACGAGGTCAGGATATCGAGACCATCCTGGCTAACATGGTGAAACCCTGTCTCTACTAAAAATACAAAAAAATTAGCCGGGTGTCGTGGCGGGCACCTGTAGTCCCAGCTACTCGGGAGGCTGAGGCAGGAGAATGGCGTGAACCCGGGAGGCAGAGCTTGTAGCGAGCCTAGATCGCCCCACTGCACTCCAGCCTGGGTGATAGAGCGAGACTCCATTTCAAAAAAAAAATGAAATGAAAATGGTGATTTCTCAGGAGGAGCACACTGTCTCAACCCCTCTTTTCCTGCTCAAGGAGGAGGCCCTGCAGCGACATGGAGGGAGCTGCTTTGCTGAGAGTCTCTGTCCTCTGCATCTGGTGAGCTTGGCTCAGAGCCCTGAGGCGGGAGGGAGGGCTCCCTGTCTGGGCTGCACAATTGGACTGGGCTTGGGCTGGGCCAGGGCCATCTGGGCTTCTTCTAGGAACCAAAGTCACTTCCCGGAATTGACCAACCGGCAGACTCGCCCAGGGAGGACCCGCTGTATCCTAGTTGAGGCTAACGGTCAATATCCGGCCTCAATATTCAGCAGAGGCTCCAGGTCAGGGTCTGAGCCAGGCCAACAATGACCAAGGAGGATGGGATCCAGGGTGCAGCTCCTCACAAGTGTCGGGGGAATCCGAGGCACCAGCTCTCTCTACCCTCCTGCTCCTCTGCTCTCTCCTGGTCCTCCTGTGTCCTCATGGCTCATGAGATGGTGTTGAGATGGCTCCCCTGGCCTAGGGGATCACACAGTGAACAAAGCAGGAAGAAGGCGAAGGGATGCCCCTCTCCTGTCACCCTTGTCCCTTACAGCAAGAAGGGCCCAGACGCCCCTCTGCATACTCCCCTGGTGAACTGCTGCCCAGGACTGGGTCCCCCTTTTACCCTTGCTGCATGGAGTCCCCAGAAGACAAACATCTGTGTGTCTGAACCCTGAGACAAAGGCAGGAAAGGGAAAGAGGGAGGCGAGTGGCTTTTGAGGAGGGGGCTTTAGTATGAGAGCTGGAGGATGGAACCCCATCAGGGGGCCCGGGAACCACTGAGCTGTTAAAATAAAGTCTGCAAACAAAGACCAGCTGCTGGAAGTGGGTGTGCCAGGGAGTGCGCAGAGACACACGGTGAGAAAAGAACAATGGTAATGCTTGGAGCCGCCCCTAACTGGGATGGGCCTGAAATGGTATTGTTATTATTTATAGTATCATTATTAGTCATTTTCATCTTATTTGTACCCTCCCTCTATCTCTCCTCTCCACCTTTTCCTAACATTCTATCACCAGTTTTATGTCTTCCATTAGCAACTTTGTAGCTGTAAATAATTTACTTACAACTTTCATATACCCTCAGTTGTACCCAGTATTTCTTAACTTCCCTCTTTAAAAAAATGATAATATTAATCCTCCTTCTCCTTCGTTCAGTGCTTCACATCCCAACTGCTACCTTTGTGCTTTAAATTTTGTACTAATTGGTGTTGATAACAAGTATATTTAGTTCTCATATTTATATGTTGTGTATATGTTTTGGTTTTTTTTTGTCTTAAACAAGAGACTACTGAGAGCCAGTAAGACTGAAAGAAAGGGCATCTTCATATACTGCTAGTTTGAGTGTGAATTGGTACAATTTGCCTGCAGTGTGGCTCTAGGTATAAAGCCTTTTGAGTTGTTGATAGCCTCTGACCTGCTCATTCTACTCCTACAAATATCTTAAGGAAATAATCTCAAATGTGGGCAAAGTTTTATGCGAAGAAGGATGTTCTTTGTAGCATAATTTATATGAGGAATTAGAAACACCCTGAGGTCCATCAGCTAGGGAAAGACAGCAGAGGGGACAGGGCAGCACCAGGAGGGCTTGGCAGCCACAGCAGGGGCTGGGCTGGCATCTGGCAAGATCCAGGTCTTTGTGGGACAAAGAATCTTAGAGAAGCAACGGGGACACAGGCTGTCCAGTGCAGCACCAGTGAATTCACCAAGATGAAGAGTTGAGCACAGAGTGTGAGACAAGGATTTGCAATGAGGAGTCATTTACCATGAGCGTGTATACATGACTCAATATTGTATATTTAAGGGAGTAGAGCACAGTCATTGAAAACATGGGGTTGAAGCAGAAGTCCTGGCTCTAGCACTATTGTAAAAACACTGGCAAGTTCCCTAACTTTTGTGGATTCCTCTGTGTTTGAATGGGAAAGTGGTACCCATCTCCTGGCCTGTGTGTGATCATCGAATGAGACACATGTAAGAGGCTCTGCACATCGCAGACATGCAATACACACTGGCTATCACCAGCTAGTTATCACACATGCTCCCAGGCCCTGGTCATTGTCAGAACCTTCCTCCCCATCTCTATTTCTGTGTATAGACTCTGTAGTTTCTGTAATGATCAGATGGCTGCCCGTCCTCTGATTATCTTCTCCTCATACCCCAACAGGATGAGTGCACTTTTCCTTGGTGTGGGAGTGAGGGCAGAGGAAGCTGGAGCGAGGTGAGTGTCTGCAAATAGCAGATGATGGGGGCTCAGTGATAGACAAACAATCTGGTTTAGGTTGGTCTTGGTGTTTGCTTCCACCCCAGAGAGATTTGCAGAGCCCCGGCTGCTCAAGCAAGCCTCCCTCTGTCCACTGGTGGCTCACATTTGATCCCACAATTTGTTTTCTCCTCCTCAAGGGTGCAACAAAACGTTCCAAGTGGGACAGATACTGGAGATCCTCAAAGTAAGCCCCTCGGTGACTGGGCTGCTGGCACCATGGACCCAGGTAGGCTCACCTCCTCTTCCCTGCTGGTTCCTACTCGCACTTAGAATGGAGGGTGGCACCTCCACAGCTGAGTGAGCCCCAGAAGAACCCGGATGGACTAGGAGGCCAATGAGTCTGCCCAAAGCAGCAGAAGAGGTCACGTGGAGTCCCCCGACCCAGGGGTCTGGGGGTCATCTGCATCCTGACCTCTCCTTAGGGTGACACGGCCCAGGTGCCCACTTCCTCCCTACCCTGGCACCTAGCAAATGACTCAAGTGGGGCAGGACATCCTTGGGGAAGTGGAATCAGCGGGGGGGGGGGGGAGTGTGGGGAGAGCAGGGTCCAGGAGGAGAGGAGGGCTGGGAGAGGAGGTTGACCAGCAGCCCCGACCTGTCACCTCCCGCTCTGCTCCAAGCTGACCCTGGGGTGTTTCCACCTGAGGCTGGTCCCCTCCCTCCAGCTCTTGCCCTGCCCTAGCCCCTTTGCTCTGAGTGGCCCTGTGGGAATGTATCGGGCCTGATTCAGCTTCCAGCTTAACTGGACCCCGGTCTGTCCTTTGCCACATCCCCTCTGTGTGACCTGGCGCTCCTTACCTCCCTTCTCCTGTACCATGAGAATAATATTTCCCCATGTTGTCTTGAGGATCAAATATAACACGGCTACCTGGCCTGGCCAGTGCCTGCCACACAATAGGGCCTCCCTAAGGGCTGGTTCCCATCCCCTCTACTGGTCCCCTGTTGATTCCAGGTGGAAGCCACCCCGTCCCCCCCCAGCTGTGTTAGGGCACCCGCCCTGCCCTGCCCATCACAAGCACCTGCTTACCAGGGATGACTGCCTCAGGCAGGGGCTGAGTTCAGTCATCTAAAATACCCCCGGTCAAAGAAAAATCTGAGGCCCAATAGAATTTTAAAGAGTTAATTGAGTAAGAAAGGATTGCTGAATTGGGAAACAGCAAACTGGAGGAGGCTTCGTGCTATGGTGAAAAAGTGTCGGAGACAAGGTTTATCGGGTGAATATGAAACTGCAGTAAGGACATTATTTGATTGGTTGCACTTACAAAACTGCCTGTTTGGGTTTACCTTGTTGGAAAATCCCTGGTCACGTTGGTGCCAGTGTGAGTTTAGGGAGGTCTCCGAATACAGGTGAGACCGGAACTTAGCCTTGCCCAGGTTTTTGATGCTGAAGAGAGAAAAAAGTCAAAGCAAAAGCAAATCAGCTTTTAGTGCAAAACAGAAGTGCAGGCTCAGGGGTGGGAGTGCAGGCGGACTCAGAAGAGCCAGTCGGGCCCAGTGGAGTTTGGGGTTCTTGTCTTTGCTGGTTTATTAAATTAAGGTGTGGAGTAAGCATAAGGATTTCTGGGAAGAGGTGGGGATTTCTTGGAATTGGGAGGGCAATGCAGTTTTGTACCAAACATGGGCATACATGGAACGGCTGTGGTGCGGGTGGGTGTGGGGTTTAGTGAGACAAGGAGGGTATGATTGAGTGTGAGGCAAAACGTGGGTCAGACCCAGCGCCGAGTTGGATCTCACTGGTCTTAGCTGAATTGGCCACTTCCTGTTTGTCAGGATCCTGTGGGCCCATCCCCTCCCCCTGTCCCTACAGGTGGTTTCAGCAACTCCTTCTGTGTCTGTCATGTGAACCTGCTGCCTGGAGTTCTTGTTTCTTCTGTGACCTCCCAGTATCCACATCTCAGCATGGCCCTCTGTCAGCTGGCTTTAAGTTTTGTTTGTATCTAACAGAAGTACCCATCTGATATGACCCCAGTTGAGTTTCCCATAGCTTGCAGTTTCAGGGGGTTACAGCTGTTCTAAAGGCCTCGTAGGTATTGCCTGTCCAGGAATGTTTCAGGGCTGGTTTTTGTTTTAATTTTGCTTTTATATCCACCAGCCCCACCACATCAAGAAATACACAGATTTAGTGCCAGAGGTTCCTTCCATCCAAACCTGGGTTTCCTTCCTCCTTTTGGTGAAGAAGGAAAAAGAAAAAACAAGACAATCGCTCGCCCAGCCAAGTCAGCATTGCGTTCATTTCCCTAAGCCCCATTTCCTCAGGAGGGCTTCCTCCCCTTACAGAGTTGCCACGGCAACCAAGTCAGCTCTGCTCAGGAGCCGCCCTGGACAGCAAACTGGGCTGTGCTGAGTCCTGTCCAAGACGAGGGGAGGGCAGGGAAGATTAGAAGCCGAGAGCACTCAGCCGACCCCGGAATCCTTACGAAGGGCTGGGCTGGGGGACTGAGGAAAAACTCTCCCCCCAAAACAAGATGATCTGTGGTTTAATAACAGGCCCAGCTGGGTCCAGAGGTGACAGTGGAGAGCCGTGTACCCTGAGACCAGCCTGCAGAGGACAGAGGCAACATGGAGGTGCCTCAAGGATCAGTGCTGAGGGTCCCGCCCCCATGCCCCGTCGAAGAACCCCCTCCACTGCCCATCTGAGAGTGCCCAAGACCAGCAGGAGGAATCTCCTTTGCATGGTAGTTGTACTCAATGCTGTGGAGTTTGAGACATTATTTTTAAACTTTAAATAGCCCCACAGGTAAGCTATAAGGGAGAATGCAGAGACCACAGGCATTTTCAAAACATAAGGAGTTTTAATGTTAAGGAGTTTAAGGAGAATGTCAAAGAAACATTGGCCTTGGAGTCAAATCCTGAGCTTCCTGCTTGATGGTTTTGGGCGGTGACTCTCGCTGTCTGGATTTTACTTTCTTCATCTGTGAATTAAGAATGAGGTGGCCGGGCACTGTGGCTCACGCCTGTAATCCCAACATTTGGGAGGCCGAGGCGGGCAGATCACAAGGTCAGGAGATCGAGACGATCCTGTCTAACACGATGAAACCCTGTCTCTACTAAAAATACAAAAAAAATTACCAGGCCTGGTGGCAGGCGCCTGTAGTCCCAGCTACTCAGGAGGCTGAGGCAGGAGAATGGCATGAACCCAGGAGGCAGAGCTTGCAGTGAGCCAAGATCGCACCACTGCACTCCAGCCTGGGTGAGAGAGCAAGACTCCATCCCCCCAAAAAAAAGAATGAGGTCTCTTGTGTGTGCACGGCAAGAAACAATTTTACATCATGCCTCAGTGCACACACAAATACATACTGGTCCCCAGTTCCTTATCTGCAATTCCATAATTCCCAGATCCCTGCAAACCACACGTTTTGGTGGCAGCTGACTTCAGGAGTAATCCTGCTCTGTACTGACTTGAGTTCTTTGTAGACCTACCATTATTTTTTACATTTAATGTGAATATTTGCTTGTTTCACTGTTGAAACATGTGTGGGTGTGATTACAGGGAGCAGTCCAGCCTCTGCTGGGAATGGTCAGGAATATACCATATGCACCCCGTGTCCTTTCTAAAATAGTGGAAATTCTGAATGCCTAAACACATCTGGATTCCAGGAATTTACATTAAGGGATATATATTTGAAATAACCCACAAAAACAATACTCACCCCTGCTACGCTTGGTACACTCTGATATTTTCAAATTGATTTTCTTTTTAAAATGCTGCTTTTGAACCAATAATTTCATAACCCAATGATGTGTTGATATTCACATTTTGAAGACACTGGTATAAAGTGTTTGACCCAACAGGCATGTGGCAGATGGAAGTGATCACTGGGATGTTTCCACTTCCTTGGCCTGGAAGGCTCACTTCATGTTGGTGCTGAGCTGAAAAGGATTCATTCCTCTCCAAAGCACCATGGCACTCCCCTGGTGTTTCAATGTTCTCAGGCTGCCATAGTAAAATATCACAGGCTGGGTGACTTCAACATCTGGCTTTTATTTTCTCACAGATCCAGAGGCAAGAAGTCCAAGGTGAAGGTGCCAAAAGGGTTGGAGTCTGGGGAGGACTCTCTTGCTGGCTTATGGAAGCTGCCTTTGCACTGTGTGCTCACACAGTCTTCTTGTGTCCCTTTCTGTTCTTACAATAGGACACTAGCCCTCTAATAGAATTAGAGCCCTACCCTTGTGATCTCATTCAGTCTTAATTGCTTCCTTAAAGGCCAGATCTCCAAATGTAGTCACCTGAGTTTAAAGCTTCAGCATATGAATTTTGGGGGCACACAATTCCCTCTATAGCACTAATGACTCCATAAAACAAGTCCCACATCACAGCTGTCCAGGAAAATTAACATGTAGTCATCTCTTATGCAATGGCTGTTATGCACTCCCACACTTTCCTCCAACCTTATCCTTTCTTCTTTCCAACTAGAGAGCAGTATCTTTATTGAGGATGCCATTAAGTATTTCAAGGAAAAAGTGAGCACACAGAATCTGCTACTCCTGCTGACTGATAATGAGGCCTGGAACGGATTCGTGGCTGCTGCTGAACTGCCCAGGTAAGCTCCATGGGGTTACCTCCATTGGGCACTCCGGCGATGCCACCCAGCTCTCCCCTGGGCTAGTTTTCCCTGACAGGCACACCTCCTCCAGGCAGCCCCCTCTGCTGGGCTTGAGGATGACCTTCTTGGCACTCCAGGAAGAATATTTCCTCCATGTCCTTCGCTGGCAGTGAGTAGCCTCAGGCTGAGGGGATAGGAAGCCCACAGGAACAGGGTCATTTCTGCCATCTGCTGGTGATGGGAACTTTGCCAGTTACTTTCTCACTTTCAGCCTTTCTTCATCAATGGAGTTTTATTGTGAGAAAAATGAGATCGTGCATGTAAAGTGCTTAGCATAATGACTGACACACAGTAGGTGCACAGTTAACGTTAACATCTTACAAGCTTGGTGGAAACAGAACCAGGGTTAAGGATCTTCTTCTTGAAGATGGGAGCCCAGCAGGACTTGACCTTTGGGACAAGTCAGAAAAATCCTGACCTAACCAATGTGTGTTCCTGGGGATGCTGGCTGGAGCCCTTTTTCTCATCTGAGGAATTCCATAAACACGGCAGGACCCTTCTGCTGGTCCAGGATGCCGAGAGGCTGGAGTGGAGTTGCACAGCGCTGGGTCTCTTTCCAGCTCTGTCTGTGTCCAGTCCCTGGGCTCTGGGCTTATGTCAGAGACTGGAAACTGTCATCAGTCTAATAGGAATAGCAACTCAATGTGATAGGAGTGTGGTGAAGGCCTTAGAGGCAACTCCAGGTCAAAGGTGGGGAACCAACACCAAGATCCTGCCCAAAGGCCCAGAGAGACCGGGATCAGCGTCAGAGCCTGGAGTCAGGATGGAGCAAGAGTCAGCCTTGGTTGTAGGACAAGCAGGAAGGCTGGGGCACCAGGGCTGGGACTAGGGTGTGGAAAGAGAGGCACCAAGGGCTTGAAACTTAAGGAGGTCATGAACTTGCAGAGGACATGTGAGTGGGAGAGGGATATTTCTTCCCTGTCTGGATGATCCCAACACTCATGGGCATATAGGGTCATGGTTGCCTGTGTCTCTCACACCACGCCTTGGAACTGGCAAGTTCTGGGCTACCCTTTGAGACCTTCTTCTCTTCTACACAGAGAAACCCCTGACATTGACAAGCAGTATGTCTTAGTGACCATTTTCATAGTAGAATTAGTTGCTGCCAATTTGTGTAATTTCAGGGATACTGAGCAGACTCACAACTTCCCAACCAAGGAGGAAAACACTTCCTCTACCATCTTGTCCAAATTCAGGTCTTTTCAGCATTAGCAATTTATATAGGTGGTTCTGAAAGTGTTTTGAATCTTCTAGAGGTTCCATAAAATTGCAAATGGCCTTGGTGTGCACACAGGTGAAGCTGTCACTACTAAGGCATCAGTTAGGCTGGTGACACCTGCGAGTGAGACCTGGAAGGTTGGGGGTGCAGGTGGTAGGTCAGGAGGCAGTAAGGTGGCTGGAGCGTCCATGTGGAGCCAGAATGAATAGCCAGATCTCCCACTCCAGTCAGCTGGGGCAGTGGCCAGAACCAGTAGCCTTCAGCCAGGTGAAAGGGCATGAGGCATTGGAAGGGAGCAGATGCCAGGCAAAGTGAACTCCTGTCTCTCCGGGGTTTTGTTTTTGTTTGAATTCAAAGTACTCAGAGATAGCCAGACTGCAATGTCTGAGGGCACCCTTACCTTTGACACCACCTGCAAATTTAAGGGGATTTCTAAATCCATCCTTTGATTTTGTAATTCACTGGAAGGACTCACATAACTCACTGAAAACTGCTATTTCACAATTGTGGTTGATCACACGGAAAGAACACAGATTAAAATCAGCCTAAGAAAGAGACACACGGGGCAGAGTTTGGGAGGGTTTTAAGTGTGAAGCTTCATTGTCCTCAGGACGCTGTGTTCTCCTGTGTGAATGTGGGACAAAACACATGCGGTGTTGCCAACCAGGGAAGCTCACCCAGTTAAGGAAAAATTCCTGTGAATCACATTAAACCAGAAATGAAGCCTTTTTTCAGGATTGTTGTTACAGGGGAGGGAGACTGAGCCCAGCTCCAAATATAGTAAAGACAGAGGGGGAGTCACAGCCAACACCAGGGTGGGGGCGGGAGATGGAACAGGACTGATAGGAGACACCAGAGTGGGGGGTTCCTGCTAAATTGGCCTAACAGGATTCTCACTAAAGGCAGGTCAGACACTCACCCATCAATGGTGGGGGTGAAGAGCATAATCAGATAGCAAAGCGTAATCAGACAGCAAGGGGGGAAGACCCTCCCTAAACTGACTTGGGGAGATTCTTGCTGAGCTGGGTGGTGCAGGTCCAGCAAGCAGTGGGTGGCTGTGGAAGGCCAAGGTCGGCGCCTAGTGGAGAAGAGGCTCAGAAGAGCCCAGCTGGAGTTGGTCAAGGAGAAAGTCCTTCTTTCTCAACCCATGCCTTAGTGTCCAGAGTATCTGCTGGGGCTGGATCACAAGCTGCCCTCATGGCTGACCTGGAGTCTCCAGCCCCTCCCTGAGGTCTAACCCCTTTAGTCCCCGGGTCCTCTGGGATCAGGAAAGACACCAAATAGCCCCAAACCCCATCATCCATCAGATTCCTATACGGTCCCGTGGCCAAATCACCAGGCAAAGACAGATGTTCCTACCAGGCAGGACATTCCAGGGGCCTGGAGATCACTTCCCAGGAGCTGAGGACAAAGGGAAGGCCTCTCTTTGGGTAAAGTTCATGCTTCACTTTCCTGCCATCCTGGGAATAAGGTCTCTTTGTCTCACTCTCACTGCTCTTTGTTCATCTGCAGAGTTTTCCCTCTCCAAACACTTTGGCAGTCACGGTGTTGACCTGCCCTTGAATGAGGAGGCATCTTTATCAAACACCTACCATGAAAGAGCATCTGAGATGCCTTTAAGATATTTATTTCCATATGGAATAAATATTGAGGAGTATCTATGATGAACAAAATGTGTTTGAGTTTGAAAGATAATTAATTCCATTTGTAAAATTTGTTTCTATTTGATCGATAGTGAAAGCTCTGCAATTTACACAGGATAGAGATCACATGGAGCTCATTTCACAGACAGGGAAACTGCATTTCTTTTTTTTTTTTTTTTTTTTGAGTTGGAGTCTTGCTCTGTCGCCCAAGCTGGAGTGCAGTGGCGCGATCTCGGCTCACTGCAAGCTCTGCCTCCCGGTTCAAGCAATTCTCCTGCCTCAGCCTCCTGAGTAGCTGGGACTACAGGCGCCCACCACCACGCCCGGCTAATTTTTTGAATTTTTGGTAGAGACAGGGTTTCACCGTATTAGTCAGGATGGTCTCAATCTCCTGACCTTGTGATCCACCCGCCTTGGCCTCCCAAAGTGCTGGGATTACAGGTGTGAGCCACCACACCGAGCCAAAACTGCATTTCTTAATCCTTTAACCTTTCCTTGTGCAGGAATGAGGCAGATGAGCTCCGTAAAGCTCTGGACAACCTTGCAAGACAAATGATCATGAAAGACAAAAACTGGCACGATAAAGGCCAGCAGTACAGAAACTGGTTTCTGAAAGAGTTTCCTCGGTTGAAAAGTGAGCTTGAGGATAACATAAGAAGGCTCCGTGCCCTTGCAGATGGGGTTCAGAAGGTCCACAAAGGCACCACCATCGCCAATGTGGTGTCTGGCTCTCTCAGCATTTCCTCTGGCATCCTGACCCTCGTCGGCATGGGTCTGGCACCCTTCACAGAGGGAGGCAGCCTTGTACTCTTGGAACCTGGGATGGAGTTGGGAATCACAGCCGCTTTGACCGGGATTACCAGCAGTACCATGGACTACGGAAAGAAGTGGTGGACACAAGCCCAAGCCCACGACCTGGTCATCAAAAGCCTTGACAAATTGAAGGAGGTGAGGGAGTTTTTGGGTGAGAACATATCCAACTTTCTTTCCTTAGCTGGCAATACTTACCAACTCACACGAGGCATTGGGAAGGACATCCGTGCCCTCAGACGAGCCAGAGCCAATCTTCAGTCAGTACCGCATGCCTCAGCCTCACGCCCCCGGGTCACTGAGCCAATCTCAGCTGAAAGCGGTGAACAGGTGGAGAGGGTTAATGAACCCAGCATCCTGGAAATGAGCAGAGGAGTCAAGCTCACGGATGTGGCCCCTGTAAGCTTCTTTCTTGTGCTGGATGTAGTCTACCTCGTGTACGAATCAAAGCACTTACATGAGGGGGCAAAGTCAGAGACAGCTGAGGAGCTGAAGAAGGTGGCTCAGGAGCTGGAGGAGAAGCTAAACATTCTCAACAATAATTATAAGATTCTGCAGGCGGACCAAGAACTGTGACCACAGGGCAGGGCAGCCACCAGGAGAGATATGCCTGGCAGGGGCCAGGACAAAATGCAAACTTTTTTTTTTTTCTGAGACAGAGTCTTGCTCTGTCGCCAAGTTGGAGTGCAATGGTGCGATCTCAGCTCACTGCAAGCTCTGCCTCCCGTGTTCAAGCGATTCTCCTGCCTTGGCCTCCCAAGTAGCTGGGACTACAGGCGCCTACCACCATGCCCAGCTAATTTTTGTATTTTTAATAGAGATGGGGTTTCACCATGTTGGCCAGGATGGTCTCGATCTCCTGACCTCTTGATCTGCCCACCTTGGCCTCCCAAAGTGCTGGGATTACAGGCGTGAGCCATCGCTTTTGACCCAAATGCAAACATTTTATTAGGGGGATAAAGAGGGTGAGGTAAAGTTTATGGAACTGAGTGTTAGGGACTTTGGCATTTCCATAGCTGAGCACAGCAGGGGAGGGGTTAATGCAGATGGCAGTGCAGCAAGGAGAAGGCAGGAACATTGGAGCCTGCAATAAGGGAAAAATGGGAACTGGAGAGTGTGGGGAATGGGAAGAAGCAGTTTACTTTAGACTAAAGAATATATTGGGGGGCCGGGTGTAGTGGCTCATGCCTGTAATCCGAGCACTTTGGGAGGCCAAGGCGGGCGGATCACGAGGTCAGGAGATCGAGACCATCCTGGCTAACACAGTGAAACCCCGTCTCTACTAAAAATACAAAAAATTAGCCGGGCATGGTGGCGGGCGCCTGTAGTTCCAGCTAACTGGGCGGCTGAGGCAGGAGAATGGCGTGAACCTGGGAGGTGGAGCTTGCAGTGAGCCGAGATATCGCCACTGCACTCCAGCCTGGGTGACAGAGCGAGACTCCATCTCAAAAAAAAAAAAAAAAAGAATATATTGACGGAAGAATAGAGAGGAGGCTTGAAGGAACCAGCAATGAGAAGGCCAGGAAAAGAAAGAGCTGAAAATGGAGAAAGCCCAAGAGTTAGAACAGTTGGATACAGGAGAAGAAACAGCGGCTCCACTACAGACCCAGCCCCAGGTTCAATGTCCTCCGAAGAATGAAGTCTTTCCCTGGTGATGGTCCCCTGCCCTGTCTTTCCAGCATCCACTCTCCCTTGTCCTCCTGGGGGCATATCTCAGTCAGGCAGCGGCTTCCTGATGATGGTCATTGGGGTGGTTGTCATGTGATGGGTCCCCTCCAGGTTACTAAAGGGTGCATGTCCCCTGCTTGAACACTGAAGGGCAGGTGGTGGGCCATGGCCATGGTCCCCAGCTGAGGAGCAGGTGTCCCTGAGAACCCAAACTTCCCAGAGAGTATGTGAGAACCAACCAATGAAAACAGTCCCATCGCTCTTACCCGGTAAGTAAACAGTCAGAAAATTAGCATGAAAGCAGTTTAGCATTGGGAGGAAGCTCAGATCTCTAGAGCTGTCTTGTCGCCGCCCAGGATTGACCTGTGTGTAAGTCCCAATAAACTCACCTACTCATCAAGCTGGACTTGTTCGAGTCATTCTTTGGTCTCTCAGCTCTTTCCAAGCTTTGGGGGCCATCAGTCTCAAGTTTTTCTCGTAATGGTGGTGATGGTGGTTGTGATGGCAGCAGAGTGGTGGGGGCCTTGGCAAGTGGTCGGTGCTCTTCCAGACCAGGGGACACCGATGGACCGATGAAGTTCCAGGGGAACTTGAAGTGCTGTGTTGGAAAGAGGTTAATTTGGGAAGAAAGGAAAAATGAAAGGAGATGCCAGGAACAGGTCAAGGAACCTTGAGGTGTGTCCAGGAGTTCAACCCCGCTTGTGGTCACGAGACCTCGCCTCTCTGAGCCTCAGTTTCCTCATCAGCTGTAGAAGGGTACCTGGACAAGGTGATGTCTCAGGTCCACCCAGCTCTCCCCATCTTGTGTCCTGGAGACTTGGGTCCAATCAGCACTGACTGATGGCTGTGCCTTTGTGGTGCCGATGGAGGCTCCCCTGGGCTCTGGGTGCCTGACTTCCCTTCCTCATGATCCTTCTTCCAGGGTCTCGGGAAACGAGGCTTCCATGGCCCCTCCTGCTTGCTCACTGGACTCTCACTTTCCCAGCTGGTCATTTCCCTGAGACCTCAAAACCCCACCAACCCCACTGGGGCACCCACAGAAAGCTTGTACATGTCTGGCTCTGGCTGAGCACAGGTGTGGTTTCCATCTGCGAGTCAGAGCCCGGGATTGACATGGGACGCTCGAGGCTGACTAGTGTCAGAGGGGCCTGTGTGCAGATTGGGAGAAGATTATCGAGTAATAGAGGGGCAAAGAGGGACATCCAGACAGCAAACACCCCCATCCAGTCTGTCCTCACGTTTTGCCCAGACTCCTGCAAGAACTTCCAGAATGGTCTTCCATGTGCAACTGCCCGTCCCTGCCCATGTCCTGGATCATTCTCCACACTGCGCCAGGTTGGGCTTTAACAAGATCATGTTTTGGGTTTTTGGGGGTTTTTTGTTTGTTTGTTTGGTCTCACTCTGTTGTGAGGCTGGCGTCCCGTGGCATGAGCATGGCTCACTGCATCTTGGACCTCCCGGCCTCAAACTACCCTTCCACCTTGACCCCCTGAGTAGCTGGGACCATCCGTGTGTGCCACATTGCCCAGGCTGGTCTCAAACTCCTGAGTTCAGGTGATCTGTTCGCCTTGGCATTCCAATGGGCTGCAATTACAGACACGAGCCACCGTGCCCACCTAAGAACATAGATTTGATCGAGCACCCACTTCTGACCATTCAATGGCTTCCCATTACTCTTAGCACAAAGATGTAGGCCATGATGCTGCCTAAAGTAGCCTGTTGCGGCCTGGGGTCCTGTGAAGGAAGAGCCAGAGGCAACGTTCTGGTGCAGAGGGTTTCTAGGAAGTGATTCTAGGAGCAGAACTGAGGATCCAGGAGGGAAGGAGGAAACGTTGATACAAGAAGTTTTTGAATGGGCCATCCATATGGGCAATGAGACCTTCTGAGGTGCCTTCAAGGAGCGTCCTCAGAATCTTTGTTTCCAGGGAGGAGACATGGAGGCCTTTATCCACTGCTTTAGCTGTGTCCCAGGGGTTCTGGTACATTGTGTCTTTGTTCTCATTGGTTTCAAAGAACTTCTTGATTTCTGCCTTAATTTTGTTATTTACCCAGTAATCATTCAGGAACACGTTGTTCAATTTCCATGTAGTTGTGCGGTTTTTAGTGAGTTTCTTAATCCTGAGTTCTAATTTGATTGCACTGTGGTCTGAGACACTGTTTGTTATGATTTCCATTCTTTTGCATTTGCTGAGGAATGTTTTACTTCCAATTATGTGGTCGACTTTAGAATAAGTGTTATACGGTGCTGAGAAGAAAGTATATTCTGTTGATTTGGGACGGAGAGTTCTGTAGATGTCTGTTAGGTCCACTCAGTCCAGGGCTGAGTTCAAGTCCTGAACATCCTTGTTAATTTTCTGTCTCGTTGACCTGTCTAATATTGACAGTGGGGTGTTAAAGTCTCCCACTGCTATTGTGTGGGAGTCTAAGTCTCTTTGTAGGTCTCTAAGAACTTGTTTTATGAATCTGCGTGCTCCCGTATTGGGTGCATATATATTTAGGATAGTTAGCTCTTCTTGTTGCACTGATGTTTGTTGGTTTAAAAGATCTTTTTTGATCTTTGTTGGTTTAAAGTCTGTTTTATCAGAGACTAGGATTGCAACCCCTGCTTTTTTGTTTGTTTGTTTGTTTGTTTGTTTTGCTTTCCATTTGCTTGGTAAATGTTCCTCCATCCCTTTATTTTCAGCCTATGTGTGTTTTTGCACATGAGATGGGTCTCCTGAATACAGTACATCAACGGGTCTTGACTTTATCCAATTTGCCAGTCTGTCTGTTTTAATTGGGGCATTTAGCCCATTTACATTTAAGGTTCATATTGTTATGTGTGAATTTGATCCTGTCATCATGATGCTAGCTGATTATTTTGCACATTAGTTGATGCAGTTTCTTCATGGTATCATTGGTCTTTATATTTTGGTGTGGTTTTGCAGTGTCTGGTACTGGTTTTTCCTTTCCATATTTAGTGCTTCCTTCAGGAGCTCATGTAAGGCCGGCCTGGTGGTGACAAAATCCCTCAGCATTTGCTTGTCTGGAAAGGATTTTATTTCTCCTTTGCTTATGAAGCTTAGTTTGGCTGGATATGAAATTCTGGGTTGAAAATTCTTTTCTTTAAGAATGTTGAATATTGGTCCCCACTCTCTTCCAGCTTATATAGGGTTTCTGCAGAGAGATCCACTGTTAGTCTGATGGGCTTCCCTTCGTAGGTAACGTGATCTTTCTCTCTGGCTGCCCTTAACATTTTTTCCTTCGTTTCAACCTTGGAGAATCTGATGATTATGTGTCTTGGGGTTGCTCTTCTTGAAGAGTATCTTAGTGGTGTTCTCTGTATTTCCTGAATTTGAATGTTGGCCTGGCTTGCTGGTTGGGGAAGTTCTCCTGGATAATATCCTAAAGTGTGTTTTCCAGCTTGTTTCCGTTCTCCCCATCACTTTCAGGTACACCAATCAATTGTAGGTTTAATCTTTTCACATAGTCCCATATTTCTTGGAGGCTTTATTTGTTCCATTGTCATTCTTTTTTCTCTAATTTTGTCTTCACACATTGTTTCAGTAAGTTGATCTTCAATCTTTGATATTCCGCTTGATCAATTTGGCTATTGATAGTTGTGTATCCTTCACGAAGTTCTCATGCTGTGTTTTTCAGCTCCATCAGGTCATTTACGTTCTTCTCTAAACTGGTTATTCTAGTTAGCAGCTCCTGTAACCTTTCATCAAGGTTCTTAGCTTCCTTGCATTGGGTTACAACATGCTCCTTTAGCTCAGAGGAGTTTCTCATTACCCATCTTCTGAAGCCTACTTCTGTCAATTCGTCAAATTCATTCTCCATCCAGTTTTGTGCCCTTGCTGGAGAGGAGTTGCAATCATTTGGAGAAGAGACATTCTGGTCTTTGGAATTTTCAGCGTTTTTGTGCTGGTTTTTCCTTATCTTCATGAATTTATCTTTGATCTTTGAGGATGATGACCTTCGGATGGGCTTTTGGGGGAGGGGAGGTCCTTTTAGTTGATCTTGATGTTATTGCTTTCTGTTTGTTAGTTTTTCATCTAATAATCAGGCCCCTCTGCTGCAGGTCTGCTGCAGTTTGCTGGAGGTTCACTCCAGACCTTTTTTGCCTGGGTATCACCAGCAGAGGCTACAGAACAGCAAAGATAGCTGCCTGCTCCTTCCTCTGGAAGCTTCGTTCCAGAGGGGCACTGACTTGATATCAGCCAGAGCTCTCCTGTATGAGGTGTCTCCCTCAGGAGGCACGGGAGTCAGGGACCCACTTGAGGAGGCAGTCTGTCCCTTAGTAGTGCTTGAGCGCTGTGCTGGGAAATGCGCTGCTCTCTTCAGAGCCAGCAGGCAGGAACGTTTAAGTCCACTGAAGTTGCGCCCACAGCTGCCCCTTCCCCTAGGTGCCCTCTCTGTCCGGGGAGATGGGAGTTTTATCTATAAGCCCCTGACTGGGGCTGCTGCCTTTCTTTCAGAGATGCCCTGCCAGTGAGGAGGAATCTAGAGAGGCAGTCTGGCCACAGCCGCTTTGCTGTGCTGTGGTGAGTTCCGCCCAGTCCGAACTCCCCACCCTCCTTAGCACTGTCAGGGAAAAGCTACCTACTCAAGCCTCAGTAATGGCGGATGCCCCTCTCTCTACCAAGCTCTAGTGGCCCAGGTCAACTTCAGGCTGCTGTGCTGGAGCGAGAATTTCAAGCCAGTGTTTCTTAGCTTGCTGGGCTCCGTGGGAGTGGGACCTGCTGAGCAAGACCACTTGGCTCCCTGGCTTCAGCCCTCTTTCCAGGGGAGTGAACGGTTCTGTCTTGCTGGGGTTCCAGGCGCCACTGGGGTACAAAAAAAAAATTCCTGCAGCTAGCTCAGTGTCTTTCCCAAACAGCCACCCAGTTTTGTGCTTGAAACCCAGGGCCCTGGTGGTGTAGGCACATGAGGGAATCTCCTGGTCTGTGGATTGCAAAAACTGGGAAATGCATAGTATCTGGACTGGATAGCACAGTCCCTCATGGTTTCCCTTGGCTGGGGGAGGGAGGCCCCCGGCTCCTTGCACTTCCTGGGTGAGGCAACACCCCACCCTGATTCTGCTCGCCCTCCGTGGGCTGTACCCACTGCCTAACCAGTCCCAATGAGATGAACTGGGTACCTCCGTTGGAAATGCAGAAATCACTCGCCTTCTGTGTTGATCTTGCTGGGAGCTGCAGTCTGGAGCTGTTCCTATTCAGCCATCTTGCCAGATCTCCCCTCTATCTTCTTTTTTTTTTTTTTTTTTTTGAGACAGAGTCTTGCTCTGTCTCCCAGGCTGGAGTGCAGTAGCACAATCTCGGCTCACTGCAAGCTCCGCCTCCCGAGTTCACGCCATTCTCCTGCCTCAGCCTCCTGAGTAGCGGACTACAGGCTCCTGCTTTTTTGTTTTGTTTTTTGTATTTTTAGTAGAGACAGGGTTTCACCATGTTAGCCAGGATGGTCTCGATCTCATGACCTCATGATCCGCCCGCCTCAGCCTCCCATAGTGCTGGGATTACAGGCGTGAGCCACCACGTCTGGCCGATCTCACCCTATCTTAAGCTATTTCCAGAAACAGAATGACTAGGTCAGAGGGTATTAACATCGAAAAATGTTTCCATACCTAGAACCACATCGTTATGCAAATAAATTGTATCAATTTACACTCACACCAGCTTTACAGGAGGGTGTTCATTCCTTCAGTCTTAAGAATTCTCAGTATTCTTTCTCTTTAAAAAGAAAAACAGATCTTTACACGGAGAAAAGTTTTTCAAGTTCGGCTTGTGATTATCCTGCCTGCAAAGATGAGGGAAAAGAGCGAAAGTTGATCATGTTTAGGCATTACTTTAAGAAGACAAAAGAGCATTTTTCAACCACCCCTTCTGAGACCAGACTAAAATCACAGTCAAGGCACTTATAGGTATAATAGCAGCTGATATGGCTTGGGGCTGGGTCCCTGCCCAAATCTCACATCAAACTGTAATCCCCAGCATTGATGGTGATGCCTGCTGGAAGGCAACTGGGTTATGGGAGTGGATTTCCCCTTTGGTGCTATTCTCTTGATAGTGAGTTCCCTTCACCTTCTGCCATGATTGGAAGTTCCCTGAGGCCTCCCCAGAAGCTGATACCACCATGCTTCCTGTACAGCCCGCAGAACTGTGAGCCAATTAAGCCCCTTTTCTTTATAAATTACCCAGTCTCAGGTATTTCTTTTCAGTAGTGTGAGAATGGACTAATACAGCAACTAATGCTAATAGTGGCGAACAATGTGTGGACTTTACTTTGCACCACTAACTGCTCTAAGATGTTAGAAAAAACTCACCGTACTCTTTCAAGAACCTCTGAAGTGTGTATCATTTGTACCACCATTAACAGATAAGGAAACTGAAACAGATGTTCAATGACTTGGCCAAGGTCAGAAATCTACTGATGGCTAAAGACTCGGTTCCGACCCAGTCATATGGATTCCAGAACTCACACATTGCCTTGGTACCCTCTCTGCTGACAAAAAACTTGAATGAGACCAACAGGAGATCAGAGATTTCAACAGCTATTTAGAAGACAGAACTGACTGAAGAAATGACAACCGAATAAAGATGGGTGAAGGCAGCTGCGATCCACAGCAATATGGAGAGGACATCCAGCCAAGAAGAATCACCTGCTAGGCAGAGCCTCAGAGAGAGGAGAAGTTCACCAGCCCCATGACCCATATAGGATTCAAGGCAGCCTCGAGTCTACACCAATGAAAAAATCAGAGAGTTCATGACTCAATCAAAAAGCCCCAGAAATAATATCCTTGTATTCTGACACTTTAGGGGGTTCCCATCCAATCACCCCACAGGTAAGCCTGCCAGTGGACTTGTCTTCCTCCTACATAGGAATGGATCTAGGATCAGATATATGAGAAAGACAAAATAAGGAAAAGAGACCAAGACTAACAAATGCAAAATGAGTCCAGAAGAAATGAATAATTTTGAAAATGGACAATAATTTTGAAAAAATCAAACTCATGTCCTTGGAGAGATTTAAACTCACGCTGGCCGGGTGCAGTGACTCACACCTGTAATCCCAGCACTTTGGGAGGCCGAGGCAGGCAGATCACCTGAAGTCGGGAGTTTGAGACCAGCCTTACCAACATGGAGAAACCCCTGTCTCTACTAAAAATACAAAATTAGCTGGGCATGGTGGCGCATGCCTGTAATCCCAGCTACTCGGGAGGCTGAGACAGGAGAATCGCTTAAACCTGGGAGGCGGAGGTTACGGTGACCTGAGTTCGTGCCATTGCACTCCAGCCTGGGCAACAAGAGTGAAACTCTGTTTCAAAATAAAATAAAATTGTATGCTTGAGAACAAGATGTACTGAAAAGAAGGGGGAAACAATAGAACAAAAAAAAATTCTTGGGAATTAAATGATTGACAAAATAAACAACTCAAGAGAGGGTTGAAAAAGTCTAGAAAAGCTTCCAGAAAATAAACTAGAAAGATGACAGGAGAAATGGAGCTAAAGCGGAATTGAAATGTTACCATACATCATGACTTCCTGGAAAGCTACTTGAGAAAGAGCTACAGAGGGAGTGGGAAGGACGTGCGTGTGTGTGCACGTGTGTGCACCCATGGTGAGTGGGTGGGGATAACCAAGAGAGAAAAAGACATGGGATCCAGGAAACAAGCAACTCAACCCAGTGAGAAGGGAATCCAAGGATCACGGCTGAGCATGCAGCAGGCCTAAAGAACAACCAGTCCAGGATGGAATAAGAAGGGAAGGGTTCTGTGGGGACTTCACAGAGTACCTCATATGATTCACAATTTGAGGGAAGCTGAGGAAATCATGAAGGCAAACAGTGCAAGGGGGGGGAAAACAAAGGCAATTAGAAACATCAGGAAAAACTAAAGCTGTGCCACAAAGCATGTGCAGCCATATTGTACAACTCAACTCTATAGTAAACAGTATTTAAAACATCACAAAAATGTAAACACGCTTGTTTGATTTTTAACTTTGAGCACAAAACAGAACATTTAAATATGAGAACCAAATAAACTTGTTGCCAATCAGTACCAAAATTAAAGTACAATGGTAGTGCTTGGGAAGGGAGGCACTGAAAAGGAAGATTAATATCCTCGTTTTATAAAATGGGGAGTCAAGAAACACTGGCCATAGTGAGGGCGTAAGAAAAACATTGCAAGTAAATTGTTTACAAAGTTTCTAATGGGGATTATAAAACTAGCGATATAATATTAGAAGAAGGTGGGGAGGGGAGTTAGAAGTGTAAAGATAACTTAATAATAATAAATAAATAATAAGTAATGAATAAAAATATTAATAATAAAAATAGTAATAAAAAAATTATATCCTAATAGGAAGCAAATAAATAGTGATGTCTAAATTTCAAAATGGAGAAAAATAAAAATGCAATAGCTTATATTTATTGACCATCTGCTTTGCACCAGGAACCTTCTAAATGCTTTGCAGGCATTAACTTATTTTTAGTTCTCACAACAACTGTTAGAAAGATACTATTATCACCTGCATGCTTCAGATGAGGAAACTGAAGCTCAGAGAAGTTAAGCTAGTGACAGCACCTAACTAGTGACACCCGGAATTCAAACTCAGGCTTCCTATCTCCAGAGCATGCACTCTCACTATTTCATGTCCCAGCATAAGAAAATTATTTAAATATATTTATTTACTCCCTAAAGAAAAAGCTAGGGCCGGGCGTGGTGGCTCACACCTGTAATCCCAGCACTTTGGGAGGCTGAGGTGGGTGGATCACCTGAGGTCAGGAGTTCAAGACCAGCCTGGGCAACATGGTGAAACCCCGTCTCTACTAAAAGTACAAAAATTAGCTGGGCACAGTGGCATGTGCCTGTAATCCCAGTTACTCGGGAGGCTGAGGCAGGAGAATCGCTTAAGCCAGGGAGGTGGAGGTTGCAGTGAGCCAAGATCGCGCCACTGCACTCCAGCCTGGGTGACAGAGGGAGACTCCGTCTCAAAAAAAAAAAAAAAAAGAAAAAAGAAAAAGCTAAAATTGGGACTAATTGCTCTTAATTTGGGTAAGTGGAGCCGTCTGTACTAATTGATTGATTGATTGGGAAGGGGTAAGTAGAGCCCTCTGTACTAATTGATTGGTCTTAACCATCTGCTGCACTCACTTATTACTTTATTTTTTTAATTTAAGAGGACAGAATTCAGTTTATAGTAGTTAGTAACTGCTAACCTCAATAGCAAGTTAGGTTCTGGTGTCACCTTCCTTGAAGGTTATGGAGCAATGTGAACATGTGCCAGTGAGAAATAAGCCTGCCTCTGATATGGAAGTGCTGGGAAGGGAAGCATGTAGTCCCTTTAAATGATATGGATCCCACCTCTGGGAGGCCTGTAATCCCAGCACCTGTAATCCCAGCACTTTGGGAGGCCAAGGCGGATAGAGCACAAGGTCAGGAGTTCGAGACCGGCCTGGCCAATATGGTGAAACCCCGTCTCTACTAAAAATACAAAAATTAGCTGGGCATCGTGGTGGGTGCCTGTAGTCCCAGCTACTCGGGAGGCTGAGGCAGGAGAATTGCTTGAACCCGGGAGGCAGAGGTTGCCGTGAGCCATGATTACACCACTGCACCCCAGCCTGGAGACAGAGTGAGACTTTGTCTCAAAGAAAAAAAAAGAAAAGAAGTGGGGGCCTCACACACAGTTTCCTGGATAACAGGAACTATTGTAAGAGATCCCACCAAACCACAACCATGCAGAATGAATCACAGCCCTGCACAAAGGCCACCTCTATGAGGACATCTGCCCAACAACTGTCTGTTTAACCTTGAGCTAAGGTGACCCTTGTTATTAATTCTTGTACCTAGGGATCATTATTTAAAATAACTTACATAATTCTCCCCATTTTGGCTTTAAAAACCTCTGCTTTCAGCCGGGCGTGGTGGCTCACGCCTGTAATCCCAGCACTTTGGGAGGCTAAGGCGGATGGATCACCTGAGGTCAGGAGTTCGAGACCAGCCTGCCCAACATGGAGAAACCCCATCTCTACTAAAAGTACAAAATTAGCCGGGCATGGTGGCACATGCCTGTATTTCCAGCTACTTGGGAGGCTGAGGCAGGAGAATTGCTGGAACCCGGGAGGCGGAAGTTGCAGTGAGCCGAGATCGCGCCACTGCACTCCAGCCTGGCTACAAAGCGAGACTCCGTCTTGGGGCAAAAAAAAAAAAAAAAAAAAAAAAAACACCACCTCTGCTTTCCTTTGTCTCCCTGAGTCGGCCTGTGGTCCCACCATGGGGTGTCCTGGCACATCATGTATTCCCAGATTTACAAATCCTTCTGCTCATTCCAGAATAAACTTGTTATCTTCAGAGACTCCCTTTCTGTTGTTATTTTAGGTTGACGACAGACTCCCTGAACGTAATCTCATAGTGGAGCAACCAGAATGGGGACTGCAGACTCAAATCCAGGTGAGAATCAGGTGTCTCTTAACTTCAGGGACGTGGGACGTGAGCAGAGACCATCCATTTGGAGATTCCGAGGATCTAGTGACTAAGAATAGGGCTCAGTTTCACCATCAACACCGCAGGAAAATTCACCCAGGATGTCTGCAGCTCCAGAGGAGGGGGCTTGGGCCAAAATCTTGGGTCCATATGCAATTTCGGCCACTGAGAAGGCAAACCCAACTCGAAGGGGGAAATGAACCCTGAAATTGCTTTGGAAGATGTGCGGTGACATCGCCAGCACCACCTAGTGGAAGCTGGAAGTGTGGACAGCCCTCCTCACAGCCACCACCCCCACCCCGCCCTGCCCCGCCAATGGAGAGGTGTGCTTGGCCAGGTCATGCCCGATGTCATTGTCTGTGTGCACCATGACAGGGACCCCAGCGCCCTGTTCTGCTCTTTTTCAAGGCACCCTGGAAGGAGGTGGCGAGCTTCAAGCTGGGCATTTGACAATGGGGGCTTCTGAAGGCATCAGTGGCTAGCGGAGACAAACAAGCCTAGGACTGCAAAGTGCAGGGGAAGGGAATTGTGTTTCATGCCCACAGCCCCTGGGGACCCCATAGGAGGCTGAGGGAGCAGCCACTGGTCCCGGCCACTCACAGCCCGGCCACTAGCAGTGTCTCATGGACAATCCTTTTTGTCTTTCCTCATATGGAAAAATTGGGCCCTGAGTAACAGGTGTCAGCTTCAGGAAGGTTCAGAAGTAGGTATAAAAATGACAAACACAATCAAGCTCATATTTTCCTGCTGAAGTCTAGACAAATGTGTGTTTCATTTTGATGCACATATAACATTTAAGAGAACTGGACTCATACACAGAGTTAACAGAGTAGTTTTTGGATTCAGATTTGAAATAGGTAATCGAGTAATTGATATAGATGCAGGATTTCAGCTTGAATGCCTCTCTGCTAGTAGGTACTGAGGGTGCTGCAAATAAGCTTTAGCCCAGGGAGAGGGAGAAGCATCTAGCTCAGTGGATCCCAAACAGGAGAAATGAGGAGTGGAGGGTAGGGAGGGTGCTGTGAGCACCCACAGCAACAGGATCTCTGGAACATGCACCAAGGGACATGCGCCAACCTCTATCCCCTTCCCTCCAGCAGCCAAGAGACAAAGGAGACTCTTGTCTGGAGTCATTGCGGTGCCAAAGCATGACCTTAAAAATGATAGCAACTTAGCTGGGCGTGGTGGCTCACGCCTGTAATCCCAGCTCTTTGGGAGGCCGAGGTGGGAGGATCACCTGAGGACCTGAGGTCAGGAGTTCGAGACCAGCCTGGCCAACATGGTGAAACCCTGTCTCTACTAAAAATACAGAAATTAGCCGGGTGTGGTGGCAGGCACCTGTAGTCCCAGCTACTTGGGAGGCTGAGGCAGGAGAATCATTTCAACCCGGGCGGCAGAGGTTGCAGTGAGCTGAGAGCGCACCACTGCACTCCAGCCTGGGTGACAGAGCGAGACTCTGTCTCTAAATAAATAAATAAATAAAATAATAGCACTTAGCTGCTGTGGAAAACTATATGACGGTTCTTTGAAAACTTAAACATAGAATTACCATAGGATCCCTCAATTCCACTTCTGGGAATATACCCAACAGCATGAAAACAGGGACCTGACCAGATATTTGTACAGTCATGCTCATAGCAGCATCGTTCACCATAGCCAAATGGTGGAGGCAACCCAGGTGTCCATTGACAGATGAACGGATAAGCAAAATGGTACGTGTACCCACAGGGAATATTATTCCGCCTTAAAAGAGGAAGGAAATTCTGACCCATGCTGTAACAAGGATGAACCTTAAGGACATTCTGCTAAGTGAAATAAGCCCGTCACAAAAGGACACATGCTGTATGATTCCGTTCATGTGAGGTTCTTACGGTGGTCAAATTTATAAAGATAAGGAGCAGAGTGTTGGTTGTCAAGGGCTGGGGGAGGGAGAATGAGCAGTTCATGTTTACTGGGTACAAAGTGTCAGTTTTGCAAGAGAAGAGTTCTGTGGATGATGGTGGTTGTGCAACAATGTGAATGTAATTCCACGAAACTGTTCACCTAAAAATGGTTAAAAAGGCAATTTTAGGTTATGAATATCTTACAGTTAAAATCTTTAATTAAAGTCCTTTCAAAGCCCAACCTTTGCAGAAAAAAAATTATAGCACCTGAGCCCTTTTTGGTTTGCAGAACATTTTCACACACATAGTCATACATGCTTCAACGACGGCCCTGTGATAAAAACATTTATTAATTTGGCTTCCCAGAGGAGAAAACTAAGGTTCAAATGGGGTGAAACGGCCAGGTGTGGTGGCTCATGCCTGTAATCCCAGCATTTTGGGAAGCCGAGGCAGGTGGATCTCCTGAGGTCAGGAGTTCGAGACCACCCTGGCCAACATGGCAAAACCCCATCTCAACTAAAAATACAAAAATTAGCCAGGTGTGGTAGTGCACGCCTGTAGTCTCAGCTACTCAGAAGGCTGAGGCACGAGAATCACTTGAACCTGGGAGGCACAGGTTGCAGTGAGTCAAGATCGCTCCACTGCTCTCCAGCCTGGGTGACAGGGACTCTGTCTCAGAAAAAAAAAAAAAAAAATCCAGGTGTGGTGGCTCACGCCTGTAATCCCAACACTTTGGAGGTCAGGAGTTTCAGATCAGCCTGACCAACATGGTGAAACCCTGTCTCTACTAAAAATACAAAAAAATTAGTCAGGCATGGTGGCGGGCACCTGTAATCCCAGCTACTCGGGAGGCTGAGACAGAAGAATAGCTTGAACCTGGGAGGCGGAGGTTGCAGTGAGCTGAGATTGAGCCACTGCATTCCGGCCTGGGTGACAGAGTGAGACTCCATCTCAGGGAAAAAAAAAAAAAAAAGATTCTGACAAAATGCCATGAAGATCGTTTGTAGATCTTGTCTTGCTAAAGTGGAGTTGGATTCAGAGGGTTGGGGGCGGGGTCTGAAATAGTTTCTAAGCAGTTCTCACGTGGAGCCAACGCTTCTGGTGCAAGGACCGCCATCCAGCAGCAAAGATCCAGTGTACTTTACTTAACAGACAAGGAAGCTAGCCGGGAAGGGAGTGACTTGCCCAGGGTGACAGGGCAGGGTGGCACATAGGAAGCTAAGGGCCAGGGAATGTGCATGCAGCTGTTTTGCCAAAAATCGGTCACCTTCTTAAGCTGACCCAGATAGTGTCCACTTTTTTAAATTTTTTTATTTATTTATTTTGAGACAGAGTCTCACTCTCGCCCAGGCTAGAGTGCAGTGGCACAATCTTAGCTCACTGCAACCTCTGCCTCCCGGGTTCAAGCGATTCTCCTGCCTCAGCCTCCTGAGTAGCTGGGATTACAGGCACACACCACCACGCCCGGCTAATTTTTTTTGTATTTTTAGTAGAGATGTTGGCCAGGCTGGTCTTGAACTCCTGACCTCAGGTGATCCCCCTGCCTCAGCCTCCCAAAGTGCTGGGATTACAGGCGTGAGCCACCGTGCTCGGCCTTGAACCAAGGTTTCTAAGATGCTCTTAGCCTCCTTGGATCTGGCCTAGCCCACCTTTCCATCTTAGCTTTTCTGCACAACCGCCCACAGCTAGCTCAGCCTACGCCTCAGCCAATCTGGTTCCCGACGATGCAGAGCCGGCATTGGCTGCAGAAGCCAGGCCTAGTCCTGTCCAGGGCCCCCTGGCCGCAGACAAATGCTACAGACACGGCTCGTAGCACATGGTTCTCTTTATTGTGATGCTCAGTGGAAAACATCTGTAAACCAGCTTACTGTAGTGGTGACAGCTGCAACACATGCTAAGGCACTTTTATTATATAAAAAAGGGGGTAGGGTGGGAGTTTCACTCACTCCTTTGTGACAGCAACTGGGACCTGAATTCAGAGCTTTGTAGGCATATGCAGCTTTTATATCACTTCATGATTTGAGAGTTTGTTTCCTTTAAAAAAAAAAAATGCCTTCTTGCCGTAAGTCTCAATGCAGCATATACAAAACAGTTAGGAATACAAGTAAATTCGGCAACCAGTGTAGACCAGTGAGGACGAGCTACTCTCTTCTAAACAAAGGCAGTGAGAAAGACTCGGAATTTTATCATTTATTACAAGAAAGGGGAAAAAAGAAAACCTTATTTTGCTTTCAAAAATACCTGTGCAGGTGGCAGATTTTTAAACTATACTGAGTCAACGGTGCAGGTAAACCACCCTCGGGCCCAGTCCTAGAGTAGACACAAGATCGCCTGGGAGGGCCGCTGGCCCCTCTAACGCTCTGGCTGTCAGACTTGGGACAAGTCCCTTAACCATTAAATATATTTGGTCCCCAAGAGTGTTGGGAGAAGCCACTGGAAGGCTGCTGGCCTTTCCAGCTTGACCCCGACAGCCTTGCTGTGGCAGAGGCAGGCTGTCCTCGGTAAAGGAGGGGAGGGGGCATTGCACTTGAGACATTTTAGAATCAGGAGGGAGACAGCGGACAGTGGCGCTGCCTGGGACAGGGTGGGGAGGAATCCACTCCTCCCCCCACCCCAGCCTTCTGTGCCCTGCACAGAGGTGGAGGCCCAGGGCCTGCTCCTTCTGGACCGCCCAGAGCCATGGGAGTGGGAGGCCCAAGGGGCAGAGGTGTGTGAGGTCACCACGTGTGATTGCAAACAGCAAAGAAAGGAGGAGGAGTGGGGGCGCTGGTGGCAGACGTCAGGGAGGCTGACGACTGCGGGGGCTCCGACTACCAAAAGGCCTCAGTCTGAAGAAAAATAGATTCATAGAAAACTCTGGCCCCTCCCCGGGGGCCTGCCCTGCTCGCCTCAACATCTTGTGCTTTTTGGCAAGAGAGGGCTGAGGAGCCTGCTGGTCGCTCTCTGCCTGGGCCCGGGCCCTGTCTCTTTGGTATCAGATTCTGAGCAGGGGAGGGAGCTGGAAGGGGATGCAGCAGAGGAAGCCAAATGCCCTCAACAACACCTGGAGGGAAACGGGATGGGGGGACGGGGCGGAGGGCAGGAGGAGGCATGTTCACAGCAGTCCCAAGAAGGTGGGGAGAGGCGTGCTGCGGGGTCTGGGAAGGGGAGGCTGTGGTGTCTGTCTGTCCATCCATCTCAGGCTGCAGGAGAAGAGGCTTATTCGGCAGGTTTGGCCTCAGCCCCATCCGCTTTGCCATCTACCTCTTCGTCGGAGCCATCCCCGGCGCCTTTCCGGGCCATTCGGCGGGGCACGACAAACGGCAGGTCCCCGCGCCTGGGGGCAGAGGTAGAAGCAGAGGGTCAGCGGGCCCGGCCAGGCCAGGGGCGGCCACAGCACAGCCCACACATCTCAAAGTGAATTCGAGAGGGAAACCAGGTGCCTGGCTGCTCCCACCAGAAAGAAGCAAAGTGGAGTCTTGGGAGCCACAGCTGAGCTAGACAGGACCACTCTCAGGAAAGCAGGCAAAGCTTCCCGCAAAATGTTTAGGTGTCGGACATCTTCACACACAACAGTAGCACAAAAACAGCTCAGGCAAACAGGACCAATTACAACAGGAAAGGCACAAAAGTAAGTGTAAAATGCCATCCTCTGTTGCAACTCCTATAAAACCGGTGAAACCAAGACAGGTAAACAGGTGTGCCTGTTCACACAGAGTACAAAGACAGGCACCCTCTTTCTACCACATGGCAGAAAATTCATATACAATACTGACTACTTATGCTTACAAAAAGAGCCCCATGAAGGCCTGGCACGGTGGCTCATCCTTGTAATCTCAGCTCTCTGGGAGGCCGAGGCGGGTGGAGCACCTGAGGTCAGGAGTTTGAGACCAGCCTGACCAACATGGTAAAACCCCGTCTCCACTAAAAATACAAAAATTAGCCGGGCATAGTGGTGCATGCCTGTAATCCCAGCTACTCCAGGGGCTGAGGGAGGAGAATCGCTTGAACCCGGGAGGCAGAGGTTGCAGCAAGCCGAGATTACACCATTGCACTCCAGTCTGGGCAACAAGAGCGAAACTCCGTCTCAAAAAAAAAAAACAAAAAAAATAAAAAAAACACGTAAACACATAAGAAAAAAACATGTAAGAAATGAGTATCTCAAAAAACACAAAATGAGAGTCTCAAAAAACCCACAAAAAAACACGTAAGAAATGAGAATCTCAGAGAATAAGATCCTCTGCTTCAAACATTCACTACTTCTTGAGTGTTAACACTCCCTGAGAAACGCAAAGGAGCGTTTTTAACCTCTGTAGGCATTGCTCATGAGGCTCACATTCGTTTTGCAGATATTTAACTGAGGCACCTAACATGTGCCAGGACTGGGCCAGGTGGCCTCAAGCAACTTCCAATTCAAAAGACAATAGACTTTTAGGACAGCTGGGAATAAACTACCTAGAGTTTACTGTGTGTTCAAAACACTAAGCTAAAGCCTCAAAGGCAAGGAGCCAGAAGGGGCAGGGATTGCTTTGTGCAGTCCTTTCTTGGTGACATTCGTGCCTTGCTTGTGGGCTCTGGTTGAGGAACAAGCTACCTTTTGAGAGAAGTGCCGAGGCAAAGGGGCGGGTGGGCAGGGCGGCTCACCTGAGCTTGTTCTTTAGGGAGCTGACTTCGCGGTTCATGGCATCGGCCGTCTCAGTGGCGTCCTCCAGCTCGCGCTGCAGTTTCCGGCGGGAGGCGTTGGCCCGCTGGGCCTCCTCTTCGGCCTCCTCCAGCTGCCGCTTGAGCTGCTTCAGGCGGGTAGATGCCTTGTCGGCCTGCGGAGATGGACGTGTGGCCCGTGGCCCCGGTTAGGGGCTCTGGGCGTGCAGCCAGTCAGCCCCACTGCCCTGCCTGTCACCCCATCTGCTGCCCAGCCCCGCTGCCCTTCTCACTGCCCCACCAGCGCCCACACCTGGTCCTTGTACTGCTCGGCGTTCCTCCGCTCGTCATCCACCTGCAGCAGCACATCCTTCAGCTTCTTCTCGGTCCGACGCACCTGTTTGCAGGCTGCCTGGCGCTCCCTGCATGACAGACAAGGTGGCTCAGAGGGAACACCCTCCTTCAGAGGGTCCGGCCAACAAGCCCTAACCAGGACCACCCATTCCCCGGGGCTCACTGGCATCTAGGGATCACGTAGGGAGGCCTTTGCTAGACACCTATGTGTACCCGGCTTCTTACGACGGGCACTGCAAATAGCCCCATTTACAGATGAGGAAATGGGCTCAGGTAAGGGAAGCGACACACCTCAAAGAGCATCTATGTAACTGGAAAAGAGGTCTGGGGGCCTACTGTAAACCCCATTCCCTCCAAGGAAGTCTCAGTCCTGCTGAGCCCATAGGACAACTGTCCTAGTGGGCAGGACCCCCCTGTACCTCCTGCTCTGATTCACTCTCAGACACAGCCACCAAAACTCCTGGCTTTAGAGGTGGAACAGAGAATCCTGTTCAAACCCCACAAGCTCCCCCAACCACCCAACCTGTGGAAGGGATGAGGGCCCCATCAGGAGGGAGGGAAACAGCCCCAGGCTCAGGAGACAGAGAGCTGGTTGTGGCCCAGATTTGGGCAGGACTGCAGGGGGGCCAGAGTTTTTTCCAGGACAGCTGGGGTTGGGCGGGGCCAGGGGCACGTACTTGGTCTCGTTGTCCAGCTGCTCCTCCAGCTGTGCAATCTTGGCCTCGAGGGCGGTGATGGAGGCCTTGTACTTGGACTTGACAGTGCCCTCCATCTCCTGCAGCTTGACCTTAAGCTCCTTGTTCTGGCGTTCCAGCTGCTGCCGAGCATTCTCGTTCTTCTGGGCGTGGCTGCGCTCCAGGTTCAGGTCGGTGTTGATC